>NC_000006.12:5211515-5363030 GCF_000001405.40 Homo sapiens
CGTGTAATGTTAACCCCTTTCCAATGATCTTTAATGGCTGTACATAGTGTCTGCTCTTAATTTCTTACAACTGCAGATTCTGAACTTGGGTGTAATACATCCACTATTTTGAGTTCCTTAACTAAAAAAGCACAAGCTTAAGAACAGCTGCTGTGGTAGAAAACAGTGACCCCTGAAAAGCTGATGGGAAGATGGGCATGACTCCAAAACCCTACCATTATCTAGAATTAGAACACATCCAGTTTATCTTCTTACTGCACAATTATGTACTATAGTAACAATATATTTTTTCATCCAAATACTTAGATTTTGCTGAATATTCCTGAAATCATGATCTTAATTCATTTGTTCAGGGGAATCTCATTAGAATCCAGAAACCCAGTTCTGGCAACTTCTCTGGTGCTGCATTCCCATTCCTGTTTCCCATTCCCAACACTCTATTTTACTGTTTTCTCTAGACATGAGGCTATGAAGCTAGCTCTATAACAAAGATTACAACTCTATTTCAAAATGCTTAGAAAATATTTTCTCTTTGGTGAACACTAAATCTCTATGAACTACACAGGGAAGGAAGGTGCCTCAGTGATGCTGATGCTGCAGGTCTCTAGAAGATGCTCGAAGAGCAGGTGCTAACAGACAGGAAATAGTGACACAAAACAAGGTACACTAGAGTTGTTTAAAAACCAAAGGGGTGTGGCAAACTGCAGAGCTACAATAAGCCAGGGCAGTTTACTGATAGTTATTCTAACTAACGCCTTGCAAATAGGGTCCAGAGGAGTATCTTTATTTAGAACAGCAAAATGGAGCAAAGTACAAAGACAAAAGCAAAATCTGGCTGCCTTTTTGCTGTTCCTGATGTAAAACACCTACGAAGCCTTGTTAATTGTCTGGGGTAGAAATCCTTTGGTGCTTCTTTGCTGCTCAGACTGTTTGAGAGCTATTTGCCCAAGCCTACAAACCACCCAGGTTTGTCCATTCTTTCTGGCTCCAGCTGGTCTGGACATAAAAGGCCTCTCAAATCTTTCTGATCTCACCTGGGAGGCAGATAGGGAAATTAGATTTAGTGGGGGCTAGCCCAGAACTTGCTTTCTGCAGAGAGGGAGAACCTATAAGAGCTTTCAGGGTCAGCTGGCTTTACAGAATCATCTTATATGGAAATAATGGCACTTTATCAAAAGGTAGAAGAATGTCTCTGCTAATTCTGGGCTATGACATGAGGCATGAAGTGGGAAAGAGATTCGAGACTGACAGACTGGATGGTAATTTTCCAGGGGAGACGTGGTCCAAGAATGTTAAGGAAAGAACAAGTGTATGTCTGGCTTCTACTGAGTGGGCCATAATCATGGAAAATGGGCAAAAGGAGGCTGACTTGCTTATCATGAAAGAAAAACGAGCTGCCACTTCTTGGAATGAGAGTAATCCTTAAGGACTGTGTGAAGGCTAACAAATGCTGATGTATCTAGAATCCCTCAGGGTTGCCAGAATGAAGACTGAAGATCTTGCACATTAAGGACATAAAGGAAGAATGAATGACCTCTGAGCAGAGTTGAAGTGCTCCTTAAATACCATCGGAACAAAATGGGAGGATGACTTAAGACTATCCTTCAGTTTCTACTGACTCAGGAGCCCATGTCCTTGAACTTCTGAGTTTGCTCTAAGGAGCTAGAAGACCTGAGCTCACGCCTGGCCATGTGGCCTTAGACAAGGCTTCCACCTTTCCTGCATCTCGGTTTCTCTACCCAGAAAACCAGGTCATTTTTGTCCAGAGACTTATTTTAAAAAGCAAAACTTACTAGGGTTATGGGACGCGGGGGTGGAGGGGTATCATTAGCACCACAGCTGACTCACGTGACTGAAGAAGCCACCCTCTGAAGAATGAGTGGAAAGCAGGGTGAGCAGGTAAGTGTTGTGGGTGAGATTTCAGTGTGAGCACTGCCTTTATGGCATGCATGTCTGGCAGCTGGAAAAGTGGCTGTGGGCTTCCTCACTGGTGGAACCGTGAAGCTGGGATCCATGTGCACCTGGGTGGGTGGGGCTTGGAGTCCAAATCTTCAAGTGGGAGAGAGACGTGATATGAAGAGTATCACAACTCCATGAGGGTTAATATGTCACGATCCCCATCAGATTTCCATATTCCTTTCATGGTTCATTCCTTCAGGAGGGAGACTGTGGGTGGCCAAAAAGACACCCTGATTTTGGTGGTATAGACCCTGCCACTGAGATGTATGATCTCAGGGAACATACTTCATGCATTTATTTAGTCAGTGAAAACTTACTAAGAGCCAGCTCTATGTGGGATGTTCTAGATCCTGTGGATAATAACAGCAAGCATTTGCATAACATTTCCTATGTGCTAGCATTATCCCGGGGGCTTTGCATATGTTAGTGTACTTGATCCTCACTACAACGCATGAAGTAGGGCTTACTTTCATCTGCAGTTTGCATTAGGCACTGAGAGGTTAAATATCTTGCTCAGAGTGACATAGCTAGTAGGCTGAGTCAGGATGTGAACACAGGCCGGCTGGCCGCAGAGTCCATGCTCTTCGCCACCCAGTGGAGATGATGACAGCGACAGGGGAGATCCCTGTCCTCATGGCCCCTGCCGTCTTGCAGAAGAGGGAGAAAATAGACAAGGCCACAAGTAATGTCATAGTAGGTACTGATAAGTGCTGTCACAAAAACTAAGGCAGGGCAGCGGAGAGAGAGAGAATCTGTTTTAGATAGTGTGGTCCCAGGGGGGCCCCTATGGGAAGGTGAAATCTGAGCACAGGCCTGGGTGGAAGGGGGAGGGAGCTACAGGAACATTTGGAGGGACTCCTCCAGGCAGGTGGTGCACAAGCATTGAGATGGGAGCAAGAAGTTCAAGGAAATAGGGAGTGTGAGGGAGAGGAGTGCAATGGAGGGCCTCTGGGGACCTCACACTGGCTTCAGGTTTTATGTTAGGGTGTCACGAAGCAAGAGCCTTGAAGGGGTTGAACGGGGCAGTGGCCCGATCTTTCTTTTGAAAAAGATCACTGTGGTGGTGGTGTGTGGAGAACAGACCATGTGTGGGGTGGAGTAGGGGCAGGGGCACCCGGAGGACAGGTCAGAAGGCTGCTACAGCAGCCAGTTACAGAGAACAGTGTGCAAGAATACAGACTCTCCACCTTGCCATAGGCTGTTAGTCCAAAGGCAACTTACGCCAGCTTGCAGCCAGATGGCCGGGGGAGCCACTGTGCCTTACGCCCTAACTACTGTA
The DNA here is from genome assembly GCF_000001405.40 of Homo sapiens. Lineage (NCBI taxonomy): Eukaryota > Metazoa > Chordata > Mammalia > Primates > Hominidae > Homo > Homo sapiens. Next base: position 5,214,754 of record NC_000006.12, read on the forward strand.
AAGGCTGCATGTGGATTCAGGAAGAGTCTTGACATGAAAGGGAAGTGAGTAGAAACTTCCCAGCTGCTGCTGTCTAACTGGTTCTCTGAAGGGATGAGAATGCTTTCATCCCTGAGGTGGTGACAGCAAGCTGTTCTGCAAGGTCGCCGTGTGTATTCTCCATCGGGAACGTGCAGTGGCCAGGCTGCCCTGGGGAGGGCGCCCTTGCCCTGCACATGCCACTGCTCCAGTGCGTCTGTCCTGGGAGGGGAACTCACTGGGATGTCAGATGAGGGCCAGTTTAGTATTTTTTTTTTTTTGCAAGGGTAGTTTGAGCATTTCAAACCAAGAAGTGACACAGACAATTAGATATAGCGGGAGAAATGATGGCACAGATTATTTACAATCCCCCTTTTCTAGGCAGTTTATACTCTGGATAATTTTACGCTAAAGATAAAACCTGCCTGTTTTGCCAACCTCTACACAGAGTAAGTGCCAAAGAACAAAATCTTTCTGAGTTTATGCAAAGTAAGAACTCAGCTGCTTGTTCTTCTATGCTCCACTGCTAAAGGACCTCATAAAATTCAACTACTGGTGACTGGAAATGCCATTGTTCTAGAGTTTTCAAAATGCTGACTCATATAAATGCCACTCTCAAAGTATACATAAATGTGCAGATCAGTTTCTTTTCTGAGTACCTTACTATCCTCATGGCTTTAGTTAGAGATCATTTCCTAGGCCTGTCTGAGTGTGGCAGTTACTGTATTACTAAATAGCTGTAGAACTCAAGGATGGTTAGGAGAATCCGAAATGCTATTCTAGAAAGAACTGTTACATTATGTAGGCAATATAACAAGACCTTTAATCTTGACATAAACTGCAAATTATAGTTTCAAATATTGCTTCTTTTTTGAATTCTTTTTAGAGTCAAGCATGAAGAAGGGTCAGGGAAAGATTATTATCTAATTTAATGTCAGCCAAGCTGGCATCTCTTGATGCTAAAGAAGCCCTTTCAAAACAGCACAGCATAACTTACAAAAATGGTAAAGAGTTTCCCCCTCCACACTTTATAAGCAAATTTCCTGCAAGTAAAAGGGAAACACGAATGGAAGCAGAAATGGAGTTTATTGCGTGATTGCTGCTAAGTCAAAGAAAAACAGTGAAAAGGGTGTTTTTTAGAGAGCAAGAAAACCCATCAGTGGACGGTGACTTTAACCTCTGACGTTCTAATTACTCTTGCGGATGTTATCAGACCACGCAGGAGATCATGCCGCTGCACATGCTCCACCCACCTCATGAGAATGAGAAAAGGAAGCACAAGTCAAGGTGATCCTTGGCACTTCCACAAAACGAAAACTAACACACCCTCCAGGTTCCTTTATGGGGTCAGCACCCAAGCAGCTGTACTTTACACCATCTGCACCTGCAGATGCACCTCCCATGTGGCAACGTAATTCAGGTTCACCACCCACAATGGTGTCTTCAAGAAAAGGGCCACGTTCTGTTTATCCTGAATTATGATTAAAAATACTAGGAAAGGGAGAATATATTTATACTCTGAAATATATCCAAGTACACATGTGCGATACATCTTACAAAAACTTAGCTTTCAAAAAAATTAATGCAGAAGTTTCTCATACTTAAAAGTATCAGCTTTCCAGAAGGATACACTCCCTGGAAATTCCGGAAAGCTGGTATTTTAAGTTCAACTTGAATCTGAAAATATGAGAGTTCACCTTTACATGTCTGTATTAGTACAAGGAACAGAGTTTCATGATCCTGCTCTGTAAATCACCAACACCAAAAGCACGGCTGTCTAATCAAGGGGAATATGTCGAAGTTTAAAGCTCTTAATGAAAAACAGTACATCATTGAACCATCTTACCTGTCGACGAATTACTCCAAGGTCTCTCTTGGCTTTATTCACTAGGGTTTGAATTTCTACAGGATCCTTTACATTTTTATTTTCTCTGAAGGCATCTCTTATCCTCCTGACAGCATATGTTCTAAATGAATTCAGAGGAAAAAAAAGAAAAGGTGTCAGCGTGTCTGAGGCTATGCTTTCAAATGAATTTTAAAGTTTTTCCTTTAGAATTAACTGTTTAATCTTCCCCTACGGATAATCCACTTTGATCTTTGCTCGTGGCGCAGGCTGATCCACTACCATTCTGGGATGACTAAGCAAACAGATTTAGGAAAATAAATCTACTCAACAAGTCACATACAAATGGCAAACTGCTACTGAAGTGTTCCTTAGATTATTGGTTCTTTAGCCTTATTCACATCTGGCTTCATTCCATTTACATGGATAATTGAACCTTTAGTGTACAGAGACAAATCAAGAACTCAGAGGTTAGCGGCAGTGAACCATGATGGTGCTACTGCACTTCAGCCTGGGCGACAATGCGAGACCCTGTCTTAAAAGAAAGGAAGAAAAAATTCAGAGGTTACATGACGATCGTATTTGCATGTACCCAGATAGTGACCTATGCTTTCCAGTCCTTGTCCCATATTCTGGCTCTCACTTCCCTTTCTGTTGTCCACATTAGGATCCCACCACAGTTGAACCTGTGGAATTAGGCCAACACGCTTTCTTTACCTCCATCTTGAAAGTGCACACGCCTACCACCCACCCCCAACCAGACAGCTCACTTGCAGTACAGGACAGCAGTTCCAGAGCAAGGCTTGCCCATCGGACAGGCTTGGGTTTGTAGCCTTGCTCCAGCTTCTACTGTTTGTGTGAACTTGGGCAAGCTTCTTAACACAAGGCCGTGTCTCCTCATCTGTCAAAAAGGCATAATACTGCTAAAGGCTGCTGGGAGGACTAGGCTTTATAATGTGTGTCTGGAATTTGGCCCAAAGCCTGTTACATAGAAAGACTCAATAAATGAAAGCTATTCTTCTTAACACTTGTTATGCCTTAATGCAATTACTGTTCCCTCTCCTCATGCCATAACCTTGCCTTCATCCTGCATCCTTACAGTCACACCATAGTGTGTGTACAGAAGGTAGAGTGGTGTGGATAATTAGCCACAACAGACAGCTCAGCAGTCCTTAGACACAGCCTCATACTCAGATGGCTATGGCCTATCTCTAGCTCTACCCCAACTACTCCAGATTGAAAGGCATAAGACTAAGGAGAAGCAGACTGAGCCAGGCATGTGAGACACCATTTTCTCTATGTTTTTTTTTTCTTTTTTAGAGATGGGGTGTCCCTCTGTTGCCCAGGCAGTGTCATGATCATAGCTCACTGCAATTGCAAACTCCTGGGCTCAAGTGATCCTCCTGCCTCAGCCTCCAAAGTGGCCAGGATTATAAGCACCCACCACCACGCCTGGCTAATTAAAAAAAATTTTGGGGGATGGGGACTTGCTGCGTTGCCCAGGCTGGTCTTAAACTCCTGGGCTCAAGCTATCCTCCTGCCTTAGCATCTCAAGGAGCTAGGATTACAAGCACACACCACAGTGCCTGGCTCTCTCGTCTTCTTAATGATCACAGACTGCTCTGCTTTTAACTTGGAGCACCGGTTAAAGAATCCATGTGATGCCAGTAGTAATATTTAGCAACAGAAGAATGGAAATACAGGCAAAGAAATGAGAGGAGGGGATATAAATTTCCTTGGGAGCAGCGCGGAGGGGGTGTTGGGAGCTCATATAACTTATTGGGAAACTTTATCTTAAAAAGGACAAATTGTTTCAGATAAAGTTTTTTAAAGTAAAAAGGCATTTTACATTAAAAAATTCAAATGTCAGGTCTATTTGCATTTAAAAGCAAGAGTAAAACTAAATCTTATGATACTAGGAATCATAAAGGAGAAGGGAAGAGTTTAGGAACCGGTACTTAGAATGTAAGACACTGCTGAGACTTTGATCTTAACCCTCTGTGAACCAGCTGGAGTATTTCAGAGGAGCTGCTGAGCGCTCAGTATCAATCCTAAAGGGCTACAGCGATTGGGCATGGAATCCATGTACTAGCAGCTGCTAAATAACTGGGGCTCATTCACTTCTAAAGGGATATGGGAGGATTTTACAAATGGAATACATCAGATACAGACTCTCCTCAGGTGCAGCTGCTAATCTAACAAGATTTTAGATAGCAGCTAGGTAAATTAACAGCAATTTCTGGCACTTTCTTGCATAGCCTAATGGCTATTTATAAAACACAGCATCACTGTTCTTCTTGACAACCACATACTCCTCCAAAGCAGTTTCTTTTTTGGCAATGATGGCAGCAAAGAGGGGACAAAATAATTTAATTCTAATATTTGTTCCACAGGCAAAATTGGTTTATAACATGAATTTACCTCCAGGAATCATCTATTGTTTAAATTTTTCATTTCGTATGCTGCATGGGCTTCTTGGAAAAACAAAATGGGCAACAGTAGCTATTGCTAAACTCATTTTTCTAAAAGCTAGTAACTAGCTTAGAATAGCTAGGAAAAAAGGAGTACTGTTTGGAATGTAAAGACCTAAGGTCTTCCAAAGTTTAAGGAAATGAGAAAATAGCTTAAAACACTCAACAATTTATATCAACTGAGCTCAAGGCCCAGGGTCAGGATATTCTGCTATGTATACTTGTTTGTCTCCCCAGCTCTCCAAAGTCCTTACCTAAAGAAAAGCAGCTCTAGATCTTGGAATTAAATGTGTCTAAAGCAATCAAGAGTCATGATTCAAATTTTCGATGCACTTTCGAGATGAATGCTGTAATGGTTCCCTCCTCTCTTTCCTGCTCTTTCTGCCTCACTTAAAGCACCCAGTGTTATTCTTCGCCCTAAGGGAAAATATTTCACTGGCTCAGAACCACAAAACTACTACTGCATGAAGAGTTTCTTCCTTAGTTGTAAGAATTCTTATTTCGAATGATCACAGCTTTGTGAAAGTCATCAAAAATCTGAGTGAATCTTCAAATTTGGTGGGAGGGGGCTAATCACCAGTTATTTCAATCCTGGCCCTGCCCTGGTTTTTATCATTTGCTTTTTTTTTTTTCTTTTTTCTTTGCTTTTCTTTTTTGCAGATTCTGGCTATCAGCCTCTTGACCATACCACTGAGCAAGAATATTTCAAAGAAAAATTTGCAGAAGTTGCTGTGAAAATGGCAGCTAGGTGCTACACAATGCTGTGCATTAGGATGATCCTAATGAGTCAGACGCTGTCTGAAATACGGCATGAAAAACTAACGCAGAAAGGGCAACACAACCAAATACAAAGCAGCAGCCCCACAGCCACAGAAACAGTGAGGTGATGATGCTCGCACACACACTGCCCTTTCCACTCTCCTGAAGCTTGGCAGTTTCTTGGTGCTTCTTTGCACAGGAGACTCCCATTTGGCTTTCCTTCTCCACCCCAGCCTTTGCTCTTCATTCTGTCATTAGATCTCAAGTGCCCACAGGTTCTTTTTACCATTGCAAGGATTATACTCTTTTCTGAGATTCTTCCACTCAAAACTCCAATTTCCCTGTTGCACAGCAGGCAGTAACGAAAGCTCTTCAGTGCTTGAGGTTCTGCTTTACTCTGTCCCCTCCCAGAAACACCAAATGCAGCCATAATCACAGCCTCTGAGCACTTGGAGGCTCATATCAGCTTTAGCATCCAATGTGTGATGTGGAAACCACCTAATGTAATGCCTTTCATTTCTGTCATCTTCATCAGCATCTCAAGTGCTGGTTTCTCTGTGTACCTATCCTATAAACACATCTGTGCCTTTTCTTGGTCCTCTGTAACCTGAACTCAAGTATCCTAGGAACAATAAAAGCTGAATCCTTTCTACTGGCCTCTGTGGGGCAAACTCATCTACCTCCAATGACTTGGAAGGACACATCCTCCACCTACTTGCCTTAACTGAAATGTGCAAGAGGAAGCTGCTAAATTCTAGCATGTCCCCATATTCCACAGGGCCCAGAGGAGGGTGCTGGTGTATTCCGGGAGCCTGCTGCTGCTTTCAGATCACTGATTCACCCTTATGCATCTTTGAGGTCATGCCATCTGACAATACTGTGTTGCATGCCTCCATGATACTGTTACTTGTTAATTTCTGGAGGTCAAGTCTTCATATTCAAGTCTTAATGTCTAAAGAGCACTCATTGCAATACACAGACCTCCAGTTTTAGGTTTCTTTTTTCAGAGACAGGGTTTCACTGTCACCCAGGCTGAAGTGCAATGGCCCTATTATAGCTCTCTGTAGCCTCAAACTCCTGGGCTCAAACGATCCTTCCGCCTCACCCTCCCAAGTAGCTGGGAATACAGCAGCATGCCACCATGACCTGCTAATTTTCATTTTGTAGAGAGAGGGTGTCACTATGCTGCCCAGGCTGGTCTCAAACTCCTGACTTCCAGTGATCCTCTTGCCTTGGCCTCTCAAAGTGCTGGGATTACAGGTGTGAGCCACTATATCTGGCCTAGCTACTCCTTCCCAAGCTCCTTTGTGGGCTCATCTCATTCTGCTGCCCCTTACATGCTGTATTCTCTAGGGCACATATGTGAACCATTTTTCTTATTCATAAGATCTCTGCCAGTAATTGCATCTGTCAAAGGTTTCACCTGCCATATAGATGCCATTGGCTACCAATATTTCTCTAGTCCAGACCTTCCTTCTGAGGTCCAAATCCATATACCCAATTGCCTTTTGCACTTGTCAACTAAAATATAGACTCTTCCAGTGAATACATTCAAAACCGAAGTGCCTGGCTGGGTGCGGTGGCTCATGCCTGTAATCTCAGCACTCTGGGAGGCCAAGGCGGGCGGATCACGAGGTCAGGAGTTTGAGACCAGCCTGGTCAACATGGTGAAACCCTGTCTCTACTAAAAATACAAAAATTAGCTGGGTGCGGTGGCACATGTCTGTAATCCCAGCTACCTGGGAGGCTGAGACAGGAGAACTGCTTGAACCCGGAGGCGGAAGTTGCAGTGAGCCAAGATCGCGCCACTGCACTCCAGCCTGGGCTACAGGGCAAGACAATGTCTCAAGAACAAACAAACAAACAAACAAAAACCTGAAGTGCTCATGATGACCAATACTTCCTTCCTCAGGTAGGAGAATCTTCATGCAGTCAACTGCCCAAGTCAAATACTTAGAGACTCATCCTAAATTCTTTCCTTTCCCAGAACTCCCTATATGCAACCAATCACAAATCTTCCAATCGTAACTTTCCACATCCCTTCTGAATCACCTCTACTTCTCCAACTCCTCAGCCCCAATCTTGGTTCAGGCTCTTCTCTCTCGAAGTTATTTAACATCCTTGGGGTTATGGTGTGTGTATGTGTGTAGTGTATAATCAAATGGATCACGATGCCTATGGAGAGGAAGCTCAAGGATCATTTGAAGGTCACACGGACTCTGGGTATATAACAGAGTGAAGAAGAGCAGAAAGTTTCTTTCTGATAATGTGAGCTCCTGGTACAATGTAAGCCCCACATAGCAGGAACTTTAATCTTTCTGGCTCACCACTGTATGTGTCTGGTACAGAGAAGATATTCAATACATGTTTAATGAATAAATGAGCTTATCAAAATATCATAGGCAATATCAAAAAGACCTTCAAGAAAAGTACCAATAACCAATAATGAAAACAAAACAATGAAAAAAGGGTTTGCAGCAAAAAGATTCAAACAACTTTTAGAAGGCAATGATTACAAAATTCAAAATTACAATTTATTCAAGAAATACATACTAAATGCCTACTATATAAGCATTATGCCAGGAGCTGGGAATACAGTGGAGAATAACTAGGGTACTGGTCTCAGGTTCGGTGGGTGACAAGATCTGTAGATAAAGAGATGAAATAAGAAACAGAAGCCATTCCAAGTTAACACAAAGGGCCCAAGGGGACTGGTTTGAGGTAATGGAGTGGTCCTTCTCTTGAATGGGGCGGTGTTTTCACATGCCCTTAGGTTTGTCAAATCATTGAACTGTACCCTTAAAATGGATGCACTTGATTGTATGTAAATTATTCCTCAGTAAGATGACTATTAAAGTAAATTAAAAAAAAGTATAGAAGTTATATTACATTTGCCCACTTTTAAGAAAAGCAAAACAAGAAAAAAAAAAAAAGAAAGATTAGAATGCTAGAGAATATGTACATGGCTGACAGAAGCAATAACACTGAATTAAAACAAGACAAACTAGAAATTCAAATCTAAAGCATGGAAAAATTAAATACGTTGGTGAGAAATATGTAAGAAAAAAATTAACCTTCAGAATAGGGCAAAGGTGTATAACCTATGAATAATAAGTGTGAACAAACTGAACTGCATGGGTAATTAAATTTATAATGGAAGGAAATGTCCCAGAAGTGATTATAAAAAATTGAGAAGACTCATCGTTGAAATTTAACAACCAGAGGACAATGCCAAGATATCTACTTATAAAACCCTGGACTCCAAGGTTAAGAGAAAGAATACTTTAAGGACAAAGAAAGAATTTTAAGCAGTTAATATCAAATGGAATACAGATAAGCACATCCTCAGATACCTATTTTCAAATCTTCAAAGAAAAGGGCTGCTTTCCACAGTCATTTGCATTGCTGTTTTGAGGGTACAATAGGATAACAAAAGAATATCATCAATTTCTGATACACATGCCAAGCACAGAGTAGTGTGCTAAGTACTTGATACATATTGATCTCATTTAATCCTCACAAACTACAACTCAGAGAGATTTCAAAAATGTAGGCCAAGATCGCATGTCTCGTAAGTGGCAGAGCTGGGTTCTGAACCCAGTTGACTCTAGAGCCTGTGATTTTCAACCCTAGGCTATTCCTCCTCCACAGGTCGATAAGCCCTATCCAATCTTTGTTAAGTACTTGGTATAAAGCCGAGTGGTTGTCCATTTGAACAGGCATTAAAAAAAATTGTCTCTGGCATCACAAAGCTTAAAAAGGTCATCTAACTTTTCAACTCTGCTTCAAGTGTTCCTATAAATAGTTCAGCGCCAAACATGTCTTAAGAAAAGACAAATGGACGAGAGCATTTCAAGGGAAAGAGCTATTAATAAAAGGACTAAGTGAAATAATTGAGTTTAATTGTTTTAAAAAGGAAGAGGGCAACCAATGGAGGCTCGTGGAGTGGCAGGTGAAATTACCATGAGAAAATCCATTTTGGAGATCAAAGCTTCGGGTTTTTGGGTAGTTGTGAATAAAACCTATTACACACTTCCCTGTTTAAAAATGCCTAATGGTTTTCCATTATCTTGAGATAACGGTCAACTGCATCGGCATGGATGGCCTACAGGACTCTCTGGATTCCTGCTCATCTCTCCCACTCCACCTAGCAGCTTCCAGCAAGGACCACCAACTCCGGCCATCCTGGAAGACTTGCAGTCTCCCTGGTTTTCTCTCCTGGAGGCCTGCTATTTCTCCACACATGGAGCGTCCTTTTCCAGCTGGATTCTTGGCTAACTCCTATTCATCTTTAAAGACCTAAGACAGTTAGAAACAAATATCACAAAATATTAATATCCTTAGAATACAAATAGCACATATAAATTGAGAAGACAATAAGACCACAGTAAATAAATTAGTGGCATAAAACAATAACTCACAAGAGACCACAGAGTGATGAAACAGACAGATATAGATGTGTGAATGTTCAGCCTCAGTCACAATCAAACAAATGAAAATTTAAATGAGGCATCATTTTGTGTCCATCAAATTACCTGCAGTTTTTGAAAAGACAAAGGGACAGGTACACCCTGCTGGTGTGAGCACGGACTGGTACTTCCTGTGAAGAAAACAGTATACTAATGGATGGATACTGATGTTCTTAATATTTTACCCAGTAATCCTACTTTTAGGGATCTATCCTACAGAAATAACCTGAAATATGCAGATATATACAGAATGATGTTCGTTTTAGATTTATAAGCATTAAAAATAGAAACCACCTAAGTTTTCAATAATAGAGAATTGGCTACATAAATTATGAAATTATATAGCTTTAAAAACAGATGTTTCAGCCAGGCACGGTAGCTCCTGCCTATAATCCCAGCACTCTGGGAGGCCGAGGTGGGTGGATCACCTGAGGTCAGGAGTTTGAGACCAGCCTGACCAACATGGTGAAACCCCATCTCTACTAAAAATACAAAATTTAGCCAGGCATGGTGATGCATGCCTGTAATCCCAGCTACTCGGTAGGCTGAGGCAGAAGAACCACTTGAACCTCGGAGGCGAAGGTTGCAATGAGCCGAGATTGCGCCACTGCACTCCAGCCTGGCTAACAAGAGTGAAACTGTCTGAAAAAATAGGCTGGGCGCCATGGCTCAGGCCTATAATCCCAGCACTTTGGGAGGCCGAGGCAGGCGGATCACCTGAGGTCGGGAGTTTGAGACCAGCCTGGCCAACATGGAGAAACCCCGTCTCTACTAAAAATACAAAATTAGCTGGGCGTGGTGGTGGGCGCCTGTAGTCCCAGCTACTTGGGTGGCTGAGGCAGGAGAATGGCGTGAACCTGGGAGGCAGAGTTTGCAGTGAGCCAAGATTGCGCCACTGCGCTCCAGCCTGGGTGACAGAGCAAGACTCCGAATCAAAAAAAAAAAAAAAAAAAAGATGTTTAAAAAAAACTTAAAGTCACAGGTAAAAAAGATGTAAGGTGGAAAATCATTCGCCCTCTCATTCCTGTCCCTTAAACAACCAGTTCTCTCTAGATGCTATCACAGTTGGCAGTTTCTTATACAGCTTTCTGGAGACATTAGGTTCATATTAAAATCTCTACGTGTACATTTTTTTTCCTTCACAAACGGTAGCATTCTAAACATACTGTAGGCTTTTAATTTTTAAATGAAAATCTATCTTAGTGATCATTTGATAATACAAATAAAGGTGATTTAGTTTTAAAAATGGTTATATACTATTGTATAGATGAACTAGAATTCATTTAGGTAGCCGTTTATTAATGGATGTTTAGGTTGTCTCCAATTGTGCTACCACAAACAATGCTGTAATCAGCATTCTTGCTTACAGTAGCATCACGTGCATGTCTATTTGTGGGATGTATTCTCTAAAGTGGAACTGATAGTTCAAAGATAGATAAATATTTTACTGGGCAAAATATTATAAAAATTATACATTATAAGGCTGTTTTCCTCATAGGAAGTACAAGTTTATGTCCCCAACATCTCTGCCAACACAGTGCATCATCAAACTTTTTGATCTTTGCTAATCAGTCTAATAGGTGAAAAACAGTATTTCATCTTAATTGCCTTTTTCTCATCATGTATGATGTCCACCACATTGTCCCAGGTCTATTTGTACTTCTGTTTATATCCTTTGCCTTTTCTTAATCGAGTGGTCTTTTGAATGGATTTGTAAGGAGGTCTTTAAGAAGCTAGCCTTTTGTGCAGAGTTACAATATTCACTCTGGTTTGTTGCCATTTGGCTATGTTTATGGTGCTTTTTATTTTTGTGATGTAGAAATGTTCACTTTTTGTGTGGTCCGGTGTACCAAATTTTATGTTATGGCTTCTGTGTTACACATCATATGTATAAAAGCCTACCCTATTGTGAGATTTAAAAAAATATTCATCCATGTGTTCCTGAGAACATGTTCCTGAGGACATTAAGCCATGTGTTTCATGGCTTAGTTTTTCATGTTTAACTCTGGTCTTTCCGGAGTTTGTTTTGGTGGAAGTTGTTGAATATGAATCTAACTTCACCATCCATTGTTAAGATTTTTCTTTTTTGAGATGGAGTTTTGCTCTTGTTGCCCAGGCTGGAGTGCAATGGCGCAATCTCAGCTCATTGCAACCTCCGCTTCCTGGGTTCAAGCGATTCTCCTGCCTCAGCCTCCCGAGTAGCTGGGATTACAGGCATGTGCCACCATGCCCGGCTAATTTTTAGTAGAGACAGGGTTTTTCCATGTTGGTCAAGCTGGTCTCAAACTCCCGACCTCAGGTGATCCGCCCGCCTCAGCCTCCCAAATTGCTGGAATTAGAGGCGTGAGCCACCGCGCCTGGCCCATTGTTACGTTTTTAAAAGTGAAAGATACAATTTGATATTCGGGATGATCTCAATTATGGAAAATATATGTGTAGGAAAAATTAGAAGGAAATATGACAGCATGTTAACAATAATTACTTTTGGTTATTGAAATTTATGCCTCCTAAATTACTACAATAACAGTTATTTCTTAATGATTTTAAAGTTCCTATTGATATAATAAAAATCAGTAATATACCACAATAAGGAAAAATCAGTAGTAGAGAGGGCTGAAATTGTGTGAGAAGAGAATGGGGAAGGGTATATACAATTAGATCTACGCATATAAGCAGGTGAGATATATGATGAGGAATTAAACCCTGGTGAAAAGAAGAGGGGTTGGATTAAGAAGTATTTAGTTGATAAAGACAACAGGCTCTATGAGTATATTTTTAGACCGTTTATTTTGAGGCAACAATGGGACAAGGTAGACATGTCCAATAGGCTGCCAGAAATAAGGTTGTGGAGCTAAGGTGAGGAGGTTCAGACTGTCGATAAACCTGAAAATAAGGGACAAGGAAGTGTGAGGCAACACCATGGGGTAAGAAGAGCTTGTTCCGATGAAAGCCATAGAATGGGAAGAGCCATTAGCCTTGGAAGGAGCCCTGGAGAAATCATACCAATATTTAAGAGCAGGCAGAGAAGGATCTATGAAAGGAGAGGGAGCAAGAAGGGTCAACGTAGAGGCAGGAAAGCCAGGATAATTCACAGGAGACAAGAAGGCAAATTGTACAGAGAGTAGATAAGATTGTTAGGATGTCAGTGATTTTTGCAAAAAACCCCACCAGCATAGGAACACCAGAAATAGGAATGCTTTTATACTGTTGGTAGGAGTGTAAATTAGTTCAACCATTGTGGAAATTCCCCAAGGAATTTGTGTGATTCCTCAAGGATCTAGAACCAGAAATACCATTTGACCCAGCAATCCCATTACTGGGTATATACCCAAAGGATTATAAATCATTCTACTATAAAGACACATGCACACGTATGTTTACTGCAGCAGTATTTACAATAGCAAAGACTTGGAACCAACCCAAATGCTCATCAGTGATAGGCTGGATAAGAAAATGTGGCACATTTACACCACAGAATACTAAACAGTTATAAAAAAGAATGAGATCATGTCCTTTGCAGGGACATGGATGAAGCTGGAAACCATTATCCTCAGCAAACTAACACAGGAACAGAAAACCAAACACCACATGTTCGCACTCGTAAGTGGGAGCTGAACAATGAGAACACATGGACACAGGGAGGGGAACATCACACACCAGGACCTGTTGCGGGGTGGGGGGCTAGGAGAGGGAGAGCATGAGGACAAATACCTATTGCATGTGAAGCTTAAAACCTAGATGATGGGTTGATAGGTGCAGCAAACCACCATGGCACTTGTATACCCATGTAAGAAACCTGCACATGTATCCCAGAACTTAAAGTAAAACAAAACAAAACGAAAAAACACCAGCATATACCTATTGATCACAATGTAGTAAATATGGCAGAAAAACCCCCTAAATTCATGGAGGTAGTCATAAATAATAATTGGACCTTGGAGGAAATTCATTACACAATAAGAAAGTCTTTCTTTTTTTTTTGAGATAGAGTCTTGCTCTATCGTCCAGGCTGCAGTGCAGTAATGCGGTCTCGGCTCACTGCAACCTTCACCTCCCTGGTTCAAGTGATTCTCATGCCTCAGCCTCTGGAGTAGCTGGGACTACAGGTGCATGCCACCATGTCTGGCTAATTTTTGTATATCTTAGTAGATGCAGGGTTTCACCATGTTGGCCAGGCTGGTATTGAACTCCTGACCTCAGGTAGTCCACCTGCCTTGGTCTCCCAAAGTGCTGGGATTATAGGCTTGAGCCACCATGCCCAGCCAAGAAAGTGTCTTTAAAATAATGAAAAAGATAATGCATAAAATCTTTGGAATATAGTCAAAGCCATATTTAGATGAAACTTAATGGTTTAAATATCTTTGTTAATAATACTAGCAAAGTTTAATAATTAAGAATATTTCCTGGCTGGGCGCAGTGGCTCATGCCTGTAATCCCAGCACTTTGGGAGGCTGAGGTGGGAGGATCATGAGGTCAGGAGATCGAGACCATCCTGGCTAACACGGTGAAACCCCGTCTCTACTAAAAATACAAAAAAAAAATTAGCCGGGCGTGGTGGCGGGCACCTGTAGTCCCAGCTACTCGGGAGGCTGAGGCAGGAGAATGGCGTGAACCCGGGAGACAGAGCTTGCAGCGAGCCAAGATCACGCCACTGCACTCCAGCCTGGGCGACGGAGCGAGGCTCAGTCTCAAAAAAAAAAAAAAAAAAAAAAAGAATATTTCCTAATAGCCCAGAAAAGGAAAATAGTACAGTTCCCATGAGAAAATAGGGAACAAGGTTTTAAAAATATTTGTTAAACAAGTTCAAAGTGAAAAAAGGTCAGTAGACACAGCTAAGACAATTTTGTTTTTTAACGTCGTGGCTCTTGGGTTACACATCAGAAAAAACAATTTTAAGAAAAAAAGTGAAGAGGTTTGGAAGTTTGAGAAGAGCCTCGTTTTGGACAATCACTTTGGAAACAGTGTGGGCAGACTCCAGAACTTGCCAAGCAAATGAAAAAGGCTGTTGAGGTTGGAAATGGCCAATGTGGTGGTACCAATTTGCCAAAGCGGGCGATTGTCTTCCAGCTGTGGTTGATGCCCAGGTGTAGTTATAGAAAAGGCAGACGTCTGATTACATCCACAGGTGCAGTTTTGACAGATGGGTGCAACATAAGGGCAAAGAGGGAGAGAAGAACTCTCTCCAGGGCTCAGTGGGTGGTGCAGAATTTCTTCCTCCACAGTTAGAAAATTCCCAAAGCCCCAGCTCCTGTGACTTAGGCTATCCTCTGACTCAGCCCCCTAAGTAGGACTGAAGTCCTAATGTAAATGTCCAATAAAAACAGTCAGAGAAATTATGGTAAATCAACTGAAAGATATCTGTTGAGATAAATATGAAATTTATGTGCAAAAAAAGTATATTCAAAACAATATGACAGTTTCATATATCTGCAGGTTTTAAGAAAGGTTCTATGGGGTCTGTTGAAAGTAACACTGTCTTAAAAAATCAATAAAATAATGGAAAGAAAGAAACATCACCATTCTATAGCAGATGCTCCTTTCAGTCTCTAGAGGAAAAGTTTAGGAGTATTTCTGCCCAGGCGTCCTTTCTGGTGCTTAATAACATTTAAGATCTTTGACCTATAATTTATCAAAATTAAACCCTATCACTTGGATTTATCCTCATAGCCACTGACATTTTGTTGCAAACAAGATTTTTTAAAACGTAAACCAATTTATCAAAGTAAAGGCCACCTATAAAATGAAACGTGTTTAGCTTGTCTGCAGTTAGGCATGCAGATCAAGCAGCCGCGAGGTCTCTGGCTCCTTTTTTGTTGGGTTTTAGACGTGCCTATTTAGACAGTGCAATTTCCTGAAGGCTGAAGGCTGAGAACTGGTGGCTGTAGCTAAGATCCACAGTTCCCTCTTGACATGCTCCTAAACTCAAAGATGACCACATGCTTCATTTGTGGAGTCCTGCAAACTACTTTTGTCAGGGGAAAAAACGCACTTTCCTCACATCTACATATCCTCTTATGAAACTGGTCATATTTCTTCTAAAAGTATCACTGTGACAGTATAGTCCCCATGTATAAAAGCTCCATGTATATGGCAAAGATTTTCTGGCTTCTTTTTTCCCCCCACCTATCAGAATGAGCTTGATCTCATACCAGAAAAGCCAGCTCAAGCTTCCATCAGGTATTAGGAGTTAAATATTAGACTACAGAACACAGTTTTCTAAATTTTATTTTAAAATTATAGTGTGAACCTGCCAATAATGTAAGACATAGCCTTTAAATTATTTAAAATTTATGGAGAATAACTACCTATGGTAGATCAATTAATTCTAGATTTTCCACTTTATGGGTGAAATAAAGCACAAACGATGAAAATTCCTCTTGGTCATTAGATGTCTTCCTTAAAATTTCCTATGGAAATAGGAAATAGGAGTCAAATAAAATGACTTTCACTTTATCCTTTCCAACAGCTATTAGTCACTGGCAACAACACATGAGCAAGGAAGGAAGGAGAAAAGGGGACACGTATCAGTCATCTACCTTCTTCTGGACACGTCATCAAGGATGATGAACTCAGCACAAAAATGCAGAACAATTCTCCCTCCCCCTTCCTAAAATGTATGAAATGTCAGAATGTTTACTGGGCTATTCAGAAGGAAAAAAAGTCCATATAAACACATTTCAAGGCCAGGTGCGGTGGCTCACGCCTGTAATCCCAGCACTTTGTGAGGCTAAGGTAGATGGATCATTTGAGGTTAGGAGTTCGAGAACAGTCTGGCCAATGTGGTGAAACCGTGTATCTACTAAAAATACAAAAATTAGCTGGGCGTGGTGGCGGGCACCTATAATCCCAGCTACTGCACTCCGGTCTGGGCGACAGAGTGAGACTGTCTCAAAAAAATAAAAAACCAAAAAAAACCCCACAAAAAACCCAAACATTTCAGGTGTACAGTAACCTCAACCATTCATAAGAAAGCTACAAACCAGGTGGTAACTAAAAAAGGCTGCAGGGCCGAATTCAGGGAGGCTATAGAGCATAGTCAAAACCTTGCTGGGCTTCCCGAGTGTCCTGGTTTTAAAAGGACAGCAAGGGAACAAGCTGGGCCTCTGTTCCCTCAATCCCTGAATACTGGATTGAATCCAGGGCAAGAGAGCCCATCAGCTAACTTTACTTCACTTCTTGAAGTTAAAGGGCTCTGAATGCTGTATGTAGATTTTTATGCAGATGAGTCTGTGAATCACCTCCCTGTGTCTACTAAAAAAATCTGGTAACCCTTTCTCCCTTTGGAGAGCTTTAATTTTCCCTGTTGCAGAGAAGTGGCATTTCTAAAGTCTTGTCCAGGCTAAAATTCCATAAATTTGAAAATACACTTAGCCTCTTTTATCTGCTGGGATGCCGTAAACAACATGAGACCCGGAATACAATACCACGCACTGTAACATAACTAGGGATAGTTATTTTGATCGGAGTGCCATATTGTCTTGAAACAAAGTTTGTTTGCTTGGCTATTTATAATACAAATAACTTGTTACAGCATCTTTCTTCCAAGTAGGTCAAAATATTTCCATGCATTACATAATTTATTTCTATAACATCCCTGTGAATCATCCAGTAGGTGTTTGTGTGTTAGGATTTATTTTTACTTTAAAGAACTTGAGGACTTTGAGACTGAATAAAATTGAGCAAACATTTGCATTTACAAATGCTTACTGGTTACCATGCCACTTTTTTCTTTTTAATACTAACTAAACAATATCAGAATGGCACTTGGCATTGATCTGTCAAAACACAAGAAGAACAGACATGGAAGGTCAAGCCAAAAAATGCAGTCTCAAAAAAAACTGTTGAATAATATAAACTGGACTCTTACTGCCACAGGATTGGCAAAAGGAGTCTTCACCTGTGGGATTATCACATCTCTCCCTTCAGGGCACACTGAGGCTGAAGGAACCTGGTCATCCCTATAACTTGCAATCACTCTGCAGAGCTCTGAGGAAAACTGCCTGCTTGACTGGACAGCCCAGCTGTGGAAATTCTCTAGAAATAAAGATGCTACACAAAGGTGGTGCCAATTTCTGGACACTTACAGAGAGCATGCCTGGCTTAGAAGACATGGAAAAGACAGGCAACTGAGGGTCATTACATCAAAGGAGCCAGTATACTTCATAGTAGTGCAAAGAAGTACCAGGAAGAATTTGCTGCACTGGTAATAAACCATTCACATATCTCACTGGAGTCTTTTCCTTTTAAATTTGGTATCTTCTAATTGCTTCAGTCCAGGGTCTCAGCAACTGCTGCTGTTTGGATGTTGTCCTTAAGTATGTAGATACCAGGTTGCAAATGGTGAAATAAGGAGTTTACTCTCCACCACTTGTATTTTAGCACTAAAAACCTCAGGGATCAGAAATCTGCAACATGCTTTCATTTTGAGTTGCATGAAACTTTCATTACTTGCCCTAAATCCAAGGCTGAGTTTTCTATACGCATAAATGCTCAGAGCAAGAAGGTATTTGGCCTCAGTATTGTTTGTAATTCCATGATACAATAAGCCCTGTTCAGAATCAACAAACAGCAGCTTCCCTGTGGGTGTTTAGCATCCATGTGAATGTAGGGTAGACCAACTTAACTGAGTTCCATCTTAACTACCTACTAAAAATTTAAAATTGTGCACCCTGCATTAAAGGCCACAATAGTGTGATACTCTGTATTTATCACAATACTTAAGAGGGCTCTCATCCATGGATTAGCACACAAAGTGAAGCCCCATCCCCAGCATTCAGTATGCAGAGGCTCAACTGGACGACGTCCTCACTGCCTTCTCTCTGAAGACGCCCTGCCTCCCATTTCCTGAGAGAGGGTCTCACCCACATGATCAATGGCAGGCAAAAAAAATGAGTGACTTGGCAAATTTGGGGAGGGCCTTCTGATTGCCTACTTGCGCTTCTGCAAGCCGAAAGCAGGTGACAATCAGATTTGACATGCGAACCAGCATTTCCCAGCATGTGTTATGTGAAAATACTAGTCCTAAGTGAGGAAGAAGAAACACAGCACCTTATTCCCTTTACTCCCAAAACAATCACAAAGAATACTTGAATATTAAAGCAGTGGAGAAGCCCTGGAACGTGAGAAGAAAAGTTAGGGACCTGGATTCATTCGCAGAACCTTACCCACCCCCAGTGACACCCATTATACTGTGGGAAATGCTGATCTGCACAAAACTTCTACCCAGCCAGTGCCTTCAACATTCAGAGGCTGGAGGCTGATTCAAAGTACCTTACTTGAATCTCACATAACCCTCTAGCCACATATCCTAAGAAGTGCCTCAGATCTCAATCTCTCTCTCTCTTTTTAAAGACAGGGTCTCTATGTTGCCCAGGCTGGACTCCAACTCCTGGGTGCAACTGATCCTCCCGCCTCAGCCTCCCCAGTAGCTGACACTACAGGCCCATGCCACCATGCTCAGCCTGCATCTGATAATCTGAGCTGTGTGAGTTCCATTAGTTACAACAGAGATCTGCAATATGTTCACGGTCCCTTCTCCCAAATGGTCCCAGACCATACAGATCCCTGTGCTGGGTCACGGTCATACACAGAACTGGCTTTGAGAAGATACGAACCCAGGCAAGTGAAACTTGGTCTGATCTAAAAATTCTGTCACAATGCAGTTCTACAGCCTGCCCTTTCACCCCCTCCTCCCCAACAACTACAACTAATCATTTCATTTGGTTTAAAACGGGTCACCACAATTGGCTTTAATTTCAAGTCATATTTCTGAAAACAGTCTATACAATGTATTTTCTATCATGATGTAAAACATAAAATAATAAAATAAAAAACTCTCATTCTTGTTTAGGAAGACTAAATTTAGAACTGCTTTACATTTGAAGCATTAGTTTTGGGGAAAATTTCACTATTATTTAAATTATTTATTCTGTTTGTGTTTAGCATCCCTAAGATGTGGACAAAACAAGGAACTTCTGTGAGATGAGCCCCTCGTGTTCTTATCACCCAATGGCAAGTGGCCTTCACGGGGCAGCTCCCTTCACTCCTGCGCTCCTCCACAGAGGCGCCAGGTGCCCTTAGGCTATAAGGATTCAAATCAAAACAGGACAAGCTTTACAAAGCTCCTGGTATTGGGCACATATTACAAATTACTCTATTTTATAACAGGAGTATACACAGTGCTCTGAGAACAGAGAAAGAGGGAGTAACTCAGCCAGGGGCTTTGAGAAGTCTTTCCAGGGAAGGTGATGTCTTTGAAGGATGAATAGAATTTCACCAGAGGGAAAGCCTTTCTGCAACGGCAGGCTAATAATAAATATAGAATTCAAAACCCAAGGTTCTACATGAGTAGGAAAACACAGAAAAGGAAAGATAAAAATATCGAAGAAGGAATACAAAGTTTTGGAAAAAGGAGAGAGGAGCTATAAGAAAAAAAGAAAGGTGACTTTAAAAGGAAGTATGTGGAACTGAACATGGGATGGAATTCTCTGGTAACATTACTAGATTGAGGAAGAAGGAAATTACCAGTAAAGTTGTAGTTTCAGAATTATAGCTAGCAAGCAAAATTCGGTTTCTACCAATGAGAATGCCAAACTCCTGTCCCCCTACTCCCAAACCCCCAGAGCTCAGGTTCACTGCCAGCTGCACTCCAGAGCTTTGTACCTGGCACACTGCTTACCCATTCTACTGCCTTGTACCCGGGGACTCACTGCAGGTCTCTCCTCCCACCAGGTTCCTCATCTCTTTAAGACAGTGCTTGGCCCCTTTCCATCATTACTTCCCCTATAGGACCTGCTATGCTTTGCACATAGTGGTGTTAAAACCACTGTTGAATTGTAATTTTTTTTGAGACGGACTCTCGTTCTGTTGCCCAGGCTGGAGTGCAGTAGCATGATTTTGGCTCATGGCAACCTCCGGCTCCTGGGTTCACGCAATTCTCCTGCCTCAGCCTCCTGAATAGCTGGGATTACAGGCATGAGCCACTGCGCCTGGCACACTGTAATTTTTTATTTAATTAAAACAAACAAACAAACCAAATACAATCACAAAGACCCACAAGCCGATTTCTATTCTAGAAGGAGTAAAAATTCAGTTACATTTAGTCACAAGAATGATATATATCAATAGACTAATACAGTATTCATTTTTTTTAACTTCACAAGAAATTTTGGACAATAGTTTTATGTTTTGGTGACTAATCACATGCTTATCTTTTCTTCATTATTCATTTAATAGCCATTATAGCAAATTGCTAATATTTGGTAGTTCTGGAAATAATTTACATATACCTCCAATTATCAGCATATTACATTCAACATTTGCTGTATCAGGCATAAGGTATTTAAACACATCATTACAATTCTACTCCTGCACAAGATTAAGTATGTGGATGTAAGTTACTTTCAAATTCTTTAAACAGAAAAATAATCTGGTTGTGTTAGTCTTAAGAACATAGCTCAAGGTCTGTTCTTTTACCCCTGTGTTTGAGCTTTACTTGGTTACAAAGTGGTTTCATCAGAAGAAAATGTGTTTACTGACTGCCACTGGAAAAAGTGTGAAAATATAAAATATTCTCACTGGTTTTGAGATTCCTAATACTGTATATATAATATACTGGCCTAGAATAAGAAAGAAATGTTAACATTATGCTTAATGCCACTTTTTTGACACTATCTGAGAGGGAACTCTATGTCAACAAAACTATGACCACTCTACAAGAACAAAGTACAGTCAAATATATCTCTTCCTGAGCGCAGAGGGAAAGCCATTTTCCCGTAGGTGGATATTGAGGTTTTAATAAACAAGTGGAGTGATGTTAATAGACAATGGCTGTAAGCTCAAAATATTACATTATTAAAAATGAGCATTAGGCTGTGTGTGGTGGCTCATGCCTGTAATCCCAGCACCTTGGGAGGCCGAGGCGGGTGGATTACCTGAGATCAGGAGTTTGAGACCAGCCTGGCCAACATGGTGAAACCCCGTCTCTATTAAAAATATAAAAATTAGCCGGGCATGGTGACGGGCGCCTGTAATCCCAGCTACTCGGGAGGCTGAGGCAGGAGAATTGCTTGAACCCAGGAGGCAGAGGTTGTGGTGAGCTGAAACAGCACCACTGCACTCCAGCCTGGGCGACAGAGTGAGACTCCATCTAAAAAAAAAGGAAAAAAAAAAAGTGTTAGATAAAATTTTCTGAAACCAAAGTTTTCATTTTTGGTACATGTTAAGTGGCTCCTAACTCAAACTAACCCTACAGACTTACAGTTTATAAATTATTTGAAGATCTCATCTGAATATTATTTTGTTTAAAAGAGATGGTCTGTTATAATAATCCCTCTAAAAAAATCTCTAAGGGGGCCAAGCGCAGTAGCTCACATCTGTAATCCCAGCATTTTGGGAGGCCAAGGCGGGAGGATTGCTTGAGCCCAGGAGTTCAAGACCAGCCTGAGCAACACAGTGAGACCCTGTCTCTAAAAAAAAAAAAAAAAAATTAAAAATTAGCTGGGTGTGGTGCTGCATGCCTGTAGCCCCAGCTATTTGGGAGCCTGAGGTGGGTGGATCACTTGAGCCCAGGAGGTCGAGGTTGCAGTGGGCTGTGATTATGCCACTGCATTCCAGCCAGAGTGACAGTGAGACCCTGTCTCTTAAAAAGACAATCTCTAAGGAACAGAACAGAAGGGCTTTGAATTGCAGTGGGTTCAAAGTTCTTAGGGGTCTTTGACTCTGTCCGTGGGAAATCCCTCAAGGTAAAGAATTGGCTTTCTACTCAGTCTAGAGCTTGTATGGGAGTGTAACTTCACATCCACTGGTGTTTAAAACAGGGGTCCCCAAACCCTTGTCTGTGGCCTATCAGGAACTGGGCTGCACAGCAGCAGATGAGCGAAGCTTCATCTGTATTTATAGCCACTCCCCATCGCTCACAATACCACCTGAGCTCCACCTCCTGTCAGATCAGTGGTGGCATTAGATTCTCATAGGAGCACAAACCCTATTGTGAACTGCGCATGCGAAGGATCTAGGTTGTGCACTCCCTATGAGAATCTAACGCCTGAAGATCTGTCCCTGTCTCCCATCATCCCCAGAGGGACCCATCTAGTTGCAGGAAAACAAGCTCAGCGCTCCCACTGATTCTATATTATGGTGAGTTTCATAATTATTTCATTATATAGTACAATGTAATAAACAGAAATAAGTACACAATAAATGTAATGTGCTTGAATTATCCTGAAACCATCCCCCACAACCCCAGTCCGTGGAATAATTGTCTTCCATGAAACCAGTCCCTGGTGCCAAAAAGGTTGGGGACCACTGGTTTAAAATGTATGAAAAGTTGGGGTGAACTGAGCACTACTTATGAAGGATTGCCTAAAAGACAAGCCCTGTATCTACTCTTCTAGATATGCTAAGCTGTGTCTGTTGGATGTGCCAAGGACCTGCAATTTTGGTTACCTGCAAAATGCTTTCCTACTGTGGCCTTGTGCTACCAGCCAACGTGACAGGATGCCAGAAGCACAGGCCCTTTGAAACTGTTGTACTTATGCTGAGGATGCTGCCCTTCATTGAAAGAGCATAAGAGAATGTCTTCCGCTTTAGCACCAGAAAGAGTTACAATTCTTCTAAGAAAGTGGCTGCTTCGGTATCACAGACACTCTGACTCACATTACTAATCATGGTCCTCTCCCTGCATAGGCTGCTGGGAAGCTCAGAACCAGACCTGAGGCCGTGCTCCTGGCTGCTTACTGTCCTGCCTTCTAACCACCCTTTTGCTTGGAAACCTCATCCCAGGACTTATTTTGGTTTTCCTATTCTTATTTTCCTGATTTTTCTTACTTAACACACCCACAAACAATTCTGATCTGTGGTTAAAAATATATCGAAATTCAGAATAAAATTAAATGCAACTTGTTTTCAAATAAACTATGGGAGTATAAACTATATACTGAGAGACATGATAGGGTTCTAAAATTTCTTACTGAGAATTTGGAACAACAATGTTAAATGATGGTAAGGTTCACAGGGCAGTCCAAGTAAATTTAATTTAACCATGCTGCAGCAAAATGACAGTGTTAAGAGAAGTCACTCCCAGCGTAATTCTATACTCATGTTAAAAAAGAAATTCTTATTAGAGGATTTGTGTTTAAAGAGACATCATTGATTATCTGAATTTGTATAGGCACTGGATATATTAAGTCAACTAACAAATCATAAGCATTTAAATAGGAGTAAGTCCAGGGGCCTTGTAAATAACCCATAGTTTATTCAGTCAGTTGACTTGTTCTTTTTTCCTTACATAAACAAGTAACAGGGTGATTTAATTCAGTGAGAGTGGTGAAGTGAATACAGATCTGTGAAGAACAATAAAATGTTAATTTTATGATCCTGTTTATTTTGCTGAAGTTTCTACATGATAGGAAACAAATGCAAATTTTGACCCAGGGTCAGTCCTTACTATTTCCAGCAGCAGAAAATGAATCTACTAGGATACCTGAATTTTATAAGCAAATCCAACCTATTTCATATAAACATAATAAGGTCTTGGACACAGTTATTCATAGTCCGAGACTATTAACTGGGCTCTCATTCAGCATTTATGCATTTGAAATCTACCTAGTCAAATTTTCTTGACAAAATGTTAGCCTCTAAAGGAAGAATTCTGCTTCTGATAACCCATTATGCTACTTTTACACGCATGTGTTAAGCAAGCAGCAGAATCAGATTTGGAATTTAGAAAGATATTCTTTCCGGTGGCAATAGGCAGGATGCCTGGCAGAGCAAAGAACAGGAGGTAGATAGACCCGGAGGGGGCTGTACAAAATGCAGACAGAAACTGATGAACCAACAAAAAGCAATCAACTCGTGAGACATAAAGAAGGTCCGGCAAGGGAAATAAGTGAGAGAACCTGCTGGGCATAAGGACCTACTGACTACGGTAAAGTAAGGGGAGAAAGTGAAGTGACTTCCAGCTTGCACAAGGAAATACTGGGATGATGAGAGGCAATGCTGGAGTGTTGAGTTTGCCTGAAGGATTAGGTTGGGGATGGGTTAGGGATGATGTGGAGTTTTAGTTTAGATACGAGGTGTTGGTAGCATAACCAGAAAATGCCCAGGAGGCCCCTGGAAAGGACAAATGGAGGGGAATCACTAGAGCACACAAGGTTGGAGCCATGAGTTGTGGGCATCTAGGGAGGGTGTGGGAAGGTCAAGATGGAGTGCAAGGGGCCTCCAATGTCAAGCGGAGCCAAGAGAGGAGCAGACAAGGAGAAGGTGGTGTCCCGCACGCTAGGGAAGGAAGAAAGAAGCTGGAGACTGGTTAATTGGGCCAAAGATACAATGAAGGAAAGTGACAAGAAGGAAGGTGGCAGGCCAGACTGCAGCAGAGTGAGGAGTGAGGGCAGCTGACAGCCGGGAGAGTGCACAGACCATTCCCACCAGCTGCAGGCTGTCAGGGTATCACTGACTTCCTAATCGGCACAGGCCACATTGGTCTTTTCCCAAGGCTCTTCCAGACCTGCAGAATCTGGGTTTCTGCTCTATGAGGGTCCCTGAGCATAGGCCCTTAAAAACATTCTCACCACCCCCATAGGGAACAGTACCTGGCCATGGCGCAGAACAAGTGCATGAGAGGACAGAGAGAGAAGGGAAGCTGATGCCCCCGGCAGGGATGCTCATGCTGCCTGCCGCAGCCAATCAGGTGGAACCCAGGGCCTGTGGTCTAGGATCTTTCCTTCCATTAAGGTAAACAGGGCAAAATAAGACTCAAAACACCACAGGCTTCGAAGACATCACCTTTCAGTACTCCACCTAGCTCTGCCAAACCTAGCCTCAGCTGTATCCTATTGCTGAAAACTCTCCTTACAGTACATCCAACCTTTCCAGGCCTTCTCTACGTCTGCTTGTTCCCTGACTCACTCTGGTAAAATCTCACCTCCTATCTTTCCTTTCTCTTCATTTTTTCTGCCATCCATTATTACTACTCTGCAGAAGTATTTACATTAACACTACTCCCCCTCCTCTGCTGACACTTTGGAATATGGCATGTACCCAAGTTAATTTATTTTCAATGTATAAAACTGTACCCTTTGTGATAATATTACCTTAGGATACTCAAACACAATACAAAAATATTTACTTAAGAAATCTAAAACAATAGCAGCTGGGAGAAATATCTATTAAAATACCAACTGTGAAATGACAGTTGTTAAGTATCTGTTTTACCCTGTTTTAAAAGAAGAGCACACCAAGGGTTTTGCCAAGCTGGGGAGGAGTGGAGTTCCAAAGACAAGACATCCTGGGCAAAGTACTCAGGGGCTTCCGTCTCCCCGCAGACAGGTCAACTGAGGATTGTAAACCCGCAGCAGTAGTATCCAATGTAGGTCCCAGCTTTGTGAGCATGGCCAGGGAAAGAAAGGACTGCTAAGAAAATGAAAATAATTATTTAGGGAGTAACAACTAAAGAGTCCACATGCTGACCTGTAATTTAAGTCAAGGGGAGGCAAGAACAGAAAAAGCTTCACTGAAACACCAGCAGCGCCTCAATGGCGGGGGCCCACTTGGAGGGACACTGGAACGCGTCAGTCTTATTATCACTTACATAAAGAAGCACATCCAAAAATGCAAAAGGAGGTGGAAGCAGGGAATGTACCTGCCTGAACCAACGTGGAATACGGGGAAAAACGTTGGCTTTGGAGAATCCGGTGTTAAGCTGGCTCCATACCAACTTTGTTATTTTAGGTTACTTCTATTCTATGAACTGCAGCTTTCTTGTTTGCAAAATGGGGGAAATTAAAAGTGCCTGCTTAATAGAGTTTTTATGACAGTTAAATAAGACAATGCAAGGAAGGGCCTAGTATGTGTCCGGCCCATGGGAGATGGTTAATAAAAAAAAAGAGCTGTTATGATTGTATTTGTAAAATGAAGTAAGAATCCTCATTTCATAGTGACTCTATACTAAATAAAACAATGCATATTAAAGTCTATAACATACAGTGCGTGACAGACAGCATGTATTCAATCAATGTTAATTCACTCTGAAGCTACCTTTTCTTCTCAGTCTACCAAATAATAAGGGATTTGTGTAAGTATGGAGGAGAGATCCCTAAGGCAGTAAACAGTCTCGTAGGCAAGTACAGACTTTATTAGCATTACAATGGTTTTCATCAGAATTTGAATGAAACCAATTCTTCCAATGCTTTTGATCCCTGGAATCAGACTGTAACTTGGCCTCAGTATAGAATTTTGTACAGCATAGGCATTTATGAGACCACTGCCTCCAGTGTATTCAGTGATCAAAAGTATTGGAAGTTTCTGCTGTAACATAAATCTTAGTAGAACATAAACTCCATGAAGGCTGAAACTTGATAAGTTCTATTTCGCTGATGAATCTCCAGTGCCTAGAACAGTGCCTGTTACACGGTGGAAGCTCAGTAAACATTTGTTAATTGAATGAATATGGTTCGCAGGCATATGTTATATATCAATATCAAAAAGTTCCTGTCCACAAGGATTAGAGACAGGAAAACAGGCCGTGGAGATAACTGGAAGTAAAATGGTGATACATCGTGCCATTGGCCTGACTCAGAAATATTGGAGATTCTAATAGAGGCCTTCATCTTCTTTAGCAAGGCCCTAAGATCCTCCAACCTAAATAAGAAACTCCCAAACACTCCCGGCCATATTACTACTACCTTAATCTGTAAGTGCTTTACAGATTACAAGGCCTTCACACACACATTGTCTCAGTTATAATTTCCTGGCTTGCTTACACTTTTTTTTTTTTTTTTGAGATAGAGTCTCACTCTGCCACCCAGGCTGGAGTGCAGTGGTGTGATCTCGGCTCACTGCAACCTCTGCCTCTCTGGTTCAAGCGATTCTCCTGCCTCAGCCTCCTGAGTAACTAGGACTACAGGCACGTGCCACCACGCCTGGCTAATTTTTTGTATTTTTAGTAAAGATGGGGTTTCACTATGTTAGCCAGGATGGTCTCGATCTCCTGACCTCGTGATCTGCCCGCCTCGGCCTCCCCAAATGCTGGGATTACAGGCGTGAGCCACTGCGCCCGGCCACTTATACTTTTAAATTAAGAGTTCCTACTCTAGGCAAAGCCAGTGGGAGATTTAAAAATACATGAGGCTGGGCACAGTGGCTCAGGCCTGTAATCCCAGCACTTTGGGGGGCCGAGGCAGGTGAATCTCCTGAGGTCAGGAGTTCGAGACCAGCCTGACCAACATGGTAAAACCCCCAACTCTATTAAAAATACAAAATTGGCCAGGTGTGGTGGCGTGCGCCTGTAATCCCAGATACTCGGGAGGCTGAGGCAGGAGAACCACTTGAACATGGAGGCAGAGGCTGCAATGAGCCAAGATCATTCCATTGCACTCCAGCCTGGGCAACGAGAGCGAAACCCCTTCTCAAAACAACAACAACAGCAACAACATGAATATGACAGGATTTCTGCTCTTTTTTTTTTTTTTTTTTGAGACGGAGTCTCGCTCTGTCGCCCAGGCCGGACTGCGGACTGCAGTGGCGCAATCTCGGCTCACTGCAAGCTCCGCTTCCCAGGTTCACGCCATTCTCCTGCCTCAGCCTCCCCAGTAGCTGGGACTACAGGCGCCCGCCACCGCGCCCGGCTAATTTTTTGTATTTTTAGTAGAGACGGGGTTTCACCTTGTTAGCCAGGATGGTCTCGATCTCCTGACCTCATGATCCACCCGCCTCGGCCTCCCAAAGTGCTGGGATTACAGGCGTGAGCCACCGCGCCCGGCCAGGATTTCTGCTCTTAAAGAGCTGGATATAGCAGGGCTGGGAGAATTCTTCAAGGGCGAATTTGAAGGGCAAATGCTCAGTTCGTGTGTCTGCTCCACCCACACTTGTCCCATTTGTTTTGCCTGTACCCTGTGCTTTCTTTTATTTGCAGTGCCCCGTCACCGAGTCAGACAGTCAGGACTGCAGTGACGCTCATGCCCGGGGCGCACAGCGTGCGGGGTTCTAACCTGCTGGCCATGTAGCTCCCACTCTTGTGCACACGGCAAGGACTCTGCGAACAGGAAATAAATCAACCATATTCTCCTTTCTTAGGTACCAATATTCTGAACACATTTTTCTCCAGGCTGGCAAGTGAAAATATAAAAGAATTGCAAAATGAAAACAGGTTGCGCTGAAAGGCAATAACTCTTTCCTCCATTCTTAAAGAAGAAGAAAAAATGGAGGATACAATAAAAATAAACACTGGAGTCCCTCTTATTCCCTAGGGTTAGAAGAATTCTGGGAAATAATTCCCTGTGATAATAATTACATGCCTGAAGTATATGAAGCGTTTGAGAGACCGTGGGTTAAAGTTAATTACTATGAAAATAATATTACCAGAAGACTATATATGATAATAGAAGCTATGAAACAAGAAGTTATTTTTATATATCAGTTATTTTTAATTAATTAAAACAAAGAGTTATTTTTCCATACTTTATCTTTCAAATTGGTTCTTCTGGCCTTTGAAAATCGTTGGTGAAACAGATGGTGGCATCTTAATAAAACAAAGTATCTACAATCATATGGTGGCAGACATTTCCAATGACATGAACCTTTTTTATTCCTACACCAAATTTTGCCCATAATCTGAGATGTCTCAATATCTGGGGTAACTTTTCCTTACGTTCTTATTTTTTAAAAGGGAAAGGAAATGATTTTGAAGACACCGTATTTCTAACATATCTTGTTTCCTGAATTTAGTCTAAAGATGGTCCCAGACATGCGATGGTTTGACTTAGGATTTCTCGACTTTATGATGGCATGAGAGCAACAGGCATTCTGTACAAACCATACTTCGAGTACCCATACAACCACTGTGTTTCCACTTTCAGTATAGCTTTCAGTAAGTTACATGAAATATTCAATACTTTATTATAAAATAGGATTTGTGTTAGATGATTTTGCCCAACTGTATTCTAAGGGTAGTGTCCTGAGCACATTTAAAATTGGCTAGCTAAGCCATATGTTCTGTAGGTTGGGTGTACTGCATTAAATATATTTTCAACTTATGACAGTTTTATGGGAATGTGACCCTGTCCTAAGTCAAGGAGCATCTGTCCTTCTTAAAAATGCTACTGATATGACATCTCTGTAATACATCCCTTCCCCCATCCCTGCTCGTTCCTTAGGGGATGGACCAGATCTGAAGATCTCAGGGGATGGGGAGCCAAAAGCAGAGGGGTGAGAGTGTTGGAAAGGAGAAGAGAGACTCCTCTCTGGGCTAGTTTGTGAGTTCAGCCAGAACACAGGAAGAAACAGATCCAGACCTGAGTCCCTTACTCTGTGAGGAGAAGCAGTTCTGACCTAGCTTGGGATAGAGGGTTGGGACCTGCTGTCTGCATGGCCACCTAGCATGAGGCACCGAGAGGGCCACAACAACAGTGACGATGTGGGCAGATGGGTCAGTAGTGACAGGCTGCACACATGGACATTCAACTCATGAGGCACAAAGGGCCCATCTGCGCTGACTGTGGGCTGTGGTACAAGACATGTCAGGATGAGTGTGGAGCTTTCATGGCACTGACGGGGGTAGCTGAGTGTAGTTCTGAGAAGCGGATGGCATCTGAGGTGGGGTTGGGCAGGCTGAGGGCTGTTTTCCTGGTTCCTGCTGAGGCTCATCCCCTGCTAATTGTCTTCTCCAAATTATCCTGTTACTGCATGGCTATGCATTAGCTCTTTGTTTGCCTACAACACATATGTGACACTGATCCCAAGGACAAAGGAATCATGCTGACTTTATTTGCAGGAAGACCTTAAAAAAAAAAAAAAAAAAAAAAAAATATATATATATATATATATATATATATATATATATATATATATATATATAAAATAGGTGAATTTCTGGAACAAAAAAGATCAATATAAATTTGGTTTGGGAAAACAGCACCTGATCTTAAAATTCTATGGGAATCTTTCATGTTCTTATGTGATGAGGAAGGAAGGACAAGGAAGTGAGTGACTGGGTCTGAACATGGCCGCCCCGGTAGTTCACCCAAATCCCTTTACTCCTACTTGTTAATAAGCAGCACACACACATGCAGTGTTCACTCAGCCAACGGTTCTTATGCTTTGCAGTGTTCTGTCACTGTGGAAACAGTTAACTCAAACACAGTTCTTACACCCATGGAGGATGGCAGTCTAGTGAAAATGTGGCAAGAGTGATGGGGACATGTTATAGCCAGGACTTTGCATACGGTGTCTGGAAGACAAGAGAGGGGCTGCCATAAACATAACTCATACACACAGACTTGTGCACCCCACAAGCTGTCTGGCATTGATATTGGGCTGACAGTACTGAGCAAAAGCAAATCTAGTCCTTGTCCTTGACTTCCTGGAGCCTGAGGCCAGAGAACCATGATTCAGATCAGAACAAAATAAATGTACAATTACAAGTGGTGCAAGTGTCACTGTGGAAACGTGTATGGGGCTGTGAACTTACAGGACTGCAGAGTGCCTTGCTGGGGTCCAGGCGAGTGAGTGCAGAAGATCTTAAGACAGAGGGACAGCATGAGCACCAGGGAGCAGAGCATTTAAGAAGCTGAGAAAATGCCAGAGTGACAATACCATCCCCAAATGGGAAGGTGACAGGACATAAGGCGAGAAAGGCAGGAAACACAGACCATGGTAAGGATTCTGGACTTTATCCCAAAAACAATAAGAAACAACTATAGTTTTTTCCTTATTCTTCTTCTTTCCTTTAAAAAATTAAAAAAAGGGAGCAGGGTGGTGTTGGGCAGTTTCAGAGTGCTTACCCAGAGTTGACCTATAAGTTGAATTTTGAAGGATGAATAAAAATTTGCTAATAAGGAAGGAAAGTGTGTTCCAAACATAGGAAACAATATGGAATCACATGAAGGTCTACAGCCGTGTGGCACTATTAAGAAAATGCAAGAAGTTGGATTTGCTGACATGAAGAGTAGACAGGAAGCGAGAGGCAAGAACAAGAGTGCCATGTGAAGCTAAGAATGAATTCCATTCCAGAAACCACATGGCGCCACTGGCAAATTTGAAGCAAGGGGGTGGAGTGGCTGGGTGAGACCGTGCAGGTTCTGGAGTCAAAGATTGGGTTCAGTTCTCTGTTCTCCTTACAAGGTCTTTAATTGGAGAAACCACTGAACTTCCTCCTCCTAAGAATTCCCCAACTACCACATTTATCCTAGTGCCCAGCACACAGCTCAGTTAGTTGCTGCTGTACTTGAGAAACCTCACAGTAAGGAGGGCAGGGTGCAGGGGGGACTGAGAGTGGTATACGGACACAGCCACCCAGGTTAGAAGTCAGCATGGGATGGGTGAAGGTAGTGAGGGTGAAGTGGAGGGAGTGGGCCTGGGAGGTGTCCAGACAGAATGCGGGGAAGTTGGGGCGAGGAAGGAGTCTTGGACAAATGCCCAGTTCCAGCTTTGTTGTGGCAGGTCTGGGTGGATGTGGAGCAGTTGCCTATGTACCTTGGAAGGGCCCTCACAGGAGGCAGGTGAGTAGTGTCTGGTACTTGGGAGAGGGGCTGGGGCTGGAAACAGAGACTTGGGAGTAAACACAGAGGTGGCAATTGAAACCACGGAATGTGATAAAATTACAGGGAAAGTGCAAAGAGGGAAATGGGTGAAGGACCACCCACAGAGATCTGAGGTGTCTGGACATACTTTTATACGTCAGAGCCTCAAGTGAAAACAGTCCTTGAGACACAGGAAAGGAGATGTGTCTAATCCGGGTGCTGAGACTGATGGTCACGGTCAGGATTCTGCGGCCCACAGCGGGCAGAGCTTGTGAGCAATGCCCATTCCAGAAGGGTGCCTGATCAGGGTCTGCTCTGGTTTGGTTATACCCCCATTGGGAATTTACCTCAAGTTTCAAGTTTGAGGCAAAAGCATGCTATGCTCACTATGTTAATGTCCCCCCAAGTCCAGAGGCCCCCACAGTGCTGGAAGCTTTTGATTCTTAGTCTGAGGAGGAGAGAAACAGAACACTAGACTACCGGATGCAGTGAGTGCTCAAACAAGATTTGCTGGATGAATAAAAGACAACTGGACTAAGACAGGAGAATCCATGATCCTTTCTGGCTCCAATCTGTCTGCAAGGAATTGCTTTCTCATTTAATTTAGCTTTTTGTTTAGTCAAGCGTAAAGGAGATTTTAGTTAAGAGACACTTTTGCCTATAGAAGTGATATCTGGTTAAAACAATATCACTCTTAGGAATCAGATGTGGAGGAGAGTTAACTGTATAGGGAAAATATCTGAGTGAATATGCAGAAAACATGTATAAAATCCTTAAGTCAGTAATTATGCTACAGAGTAATATTCATAATTACAATGAATTGATCACGTAAGTTAACTTGGAATAAACTAGGCCAAAGGGAGAGGGTGGTAAACCCTTTCAGAACATCACACCAGGAACAAAAGAATAAATACATACAGCTTAATAGATGCATCAGTGATGTCTAATGAGGGCAGCAGCCATCCATTAAATAAAAAAAAATTACTCTGAGAGCAGACATAATCAACTAATTGAGCAATGATGAACATTAATAGTTTACAGTTATAGTTATTTACTATAGTTATAATTAATCGGCAAATTATTAACATTAATATAGAAAATATACATAAAAACTGGATGAAAAAGAGAGAAATAAGCAGATATAGAGGGCTACACATTAAGTTAACACCCAGATCCAGGTACCTGCTTTAAGATCATGCCTGCAATGTCCAGATGCTCTCAGGAAGTGATACTGTACACAAAGGTACTCAAGAAAAATGTCTTCCTCATACCAAGAAGGCAGTGTCCTCTACGTTTGATGCTTCATTTGGAATAACTTTTCTTCTTCCAATGATATTCTCATAACCTTAGTTTGATTTGTTCTCTCTAATCCAACATATTCAACCAAACACTAAGGCCAGCTAATTCTGTTTATCAACATACCTCAAAGCCAGTCCCCTTCTCCCTGTGCTGTCACATTGCTGTAGCCAGGCCTCTGGAAACATCTGAGTAAACTCAACTAGGGCAATGGCCTCCTGACTGGCCTCTATGTCTTCCGCGTCTTTTCTATATGGGGTGAGCTAGCTAAAGGAGAGTCTGCAATCTGCAGAAAACACCTGAATGGCTTTTCAATGCCGAGGACCACGTTCTAGCATCTTATCTTAGCACAGCATACAAAGCTCTCTGTGATTAGTAGTCCCACCTGTCTCCACCCTCATCTCCCACTACATGCCATCAGCAACACAGAGTGCTAGTAGTTCCTTACAGCCAACACCAACTACACTGTTTGTTTCTCATCTGCTCCTGCCTCCCTTCCCCAGCTAGTCCCTACTAGCCCTTCACAGCTCAGGTCAGCCACCACTGCTTTCTTCAGCTCCGATCCCCTTTCGGGTTAGGCTGCTGTCTCTCCTATCTGCTTCCACAATATTCTGTTCCATTTCACTATTGGTATATTGTCACCATGCTGTTGTAGAAATTTCAGGGAATCTATCAGTCTATGCCCCGAACTACAGGTGCCTCTTGGGCAAAGGTTATGTTTTGTTTATCTCTGCATCCTCAGCAAGGAACAATGAGTCTGGCGCAAGGCAGGTACCCAATAAATGTTTGCTGAATGAAACATCAAACAAGCATCATATCAAAGCTACATATTACAGTGACAGAGTTCTTTGGATGACTAATAAATATCTGGTTAAGTATATGGTTCAACAAATTTAACTGAATTGGCAAAGTGACGGTTAGCTATGAGAAATTTCAAAGATTTGGCAGCTGGACTACCAGTGTAAGAGACAACTATGTAGTAATTAATTCATCTGTATCTGCTGAAATACAGAAATGATTTTGGAGTACCTACTAGAATACCAAATATTCTGCTAGAAAGTTCTGCAACTGTAGTAGTCTCAATTTACAGATGACACACAGCGAGTAAATGATTTATACCAAGGTCACAGAATAAAAAAACCAGTTGGCCTAAAATTTGAGTCAAGGTTTCTTAATTTAAAGGCCAGAAATCTTTCTAAATCAAGACTGCCTCACTCATGATACTCATCCATTATACTGAAAATAATATGTAAGTCAAAGTAGTTCAGGAGTCACAATTTTGGGGAAAGATAGGGTGAAAAGAAAATTAGGGGAAATTTCTAGAAGGAAGTCACTGTGATTTTTGCTTTTTTTATCACGAAAGATCATTTCTGCGATCTATTTTTTAACCTCAAAACGTCTGAGTTAAGAGAACTATTAATACAATCAAACAGAATTCCAATGAGAACCTATGAAACCACACAGATGATTAAGATATCACAGTGATACATTATGTCATAACCTTGGCAACTTGCATTCCTATCACAGATCCCGACAACAGCCAGGAGGACCCGCCTTAACTGAGCTGAACTTTGCTAAATCTAGAAACTCTCAGCTTGGTTCATGTAACTTACCTAGTTTTATTACTTCATTTGGTTTCTGAAGGTCAGAACTTTCCTAAATTGGCTAGGTACCAGTTGATTGGGGAAATACTAAGAGAAATGAAATCTATGATCTGATGAGGTGGGATTCAGTGTGAAGAAAGGGGTATACAGGAGAAGTAATATGACATGAAGTACCTTTCATCCTCAGCAAAGTCTGCATATGACTATTGACATGAGTCATTAAGAGGTAATTTTCTATTAGGTTCATTATAGCCATTTCAAACAGAATGTTTTGTAATCACACTTAGCATACAAAAGAGTATTATCCTACTGCAACAAAGAATAATTTAGAGATACTTTAAGAAAATTCTATTTACTTATAATTGTACTTTTTGGCCTAACTTTACTCCTCATTTTCTTATATTCTCTATCTTTATTTTCTCATTGCTTTGACTCCCTCATTATTTTTTAATTATAACAAGTATTTTATTTTATTATATTTTACTATATGTATTTTTGTAAGTTTTAAAAATGCTTTAAAGGCCAAGGCAAAGTATAAATAGAATAAGTGCAATTTAGAAACTCTTGTAAACTACAGTCAATAAATCAGCAATGACACGCAGATCTAATAACTTTTTAACACTTTGCTTTAATATCTAGAGTAAAAAAGAATGTTATTTTTCACCCCAAAACCTTGGCTGCTATATAATTTTCTCAATCTAAATATCTTAAATATTTTCTACTCTAAGTTAACCGTACTATTTTTATTTTTTGAAACCATTATCATTAAACCTGGCAGAACTTAGCAATGTAAGAGAAAAAAATGTTTTTTGGAAACTCCAGCATATTTAACAATAATGAATAATCTTTCAAAAGTCTAAGAAACTGCTTTTAGGCACACATGAATCACCTCTAGTTGCCTGTGGAGCATTGTTGAAGAGGTCAGGTAACAATAGTTCTTTGTAATACAGCGCCACAGGCTCTATATGAAATCCAGTAATATAAATTCAGAACAAACGTAAGAACTGATATGGAAACAACTTAGAAAATTTTACAAAGCAGTCTTTTTCTCTTTTAATTTTCCCTTCCTTTACTATGTTCTTACATATGGTATAATAAAAGAGTGAAAGCAATTTTTACAGACATGTATGATGTGTTCAACATTTCATAGAGAGCAAAACTCTTATTTGGCTGCTTAAAATAGAATACAATGTTATTTAAAAAATATTTCTGTAATACGATATATGACAGCCAAAACATCATTATGCAAGGTGTCTCCTCAGCCCCAGTACATTCTGCAAATCTCCACTGTTCGGGCACTATTTCAATTTGCATGCTTCCTCTGTAAGTTTCTTGAGCCGTCCTTATATGTACATTGCATATGCGCAACCATACTACAATCTTGTGACAGCAGGGCCATCTTGTGTTTGATTCCACCTATTACTAGGTTCTAGTGTGGTAATATATACATACACACACACACACTGTGAGTTTTCAAGAAATATTAGGAAGAAATGGATTTGTTGATTTGTCTCCAGAAGAATATTTGGCATGAAGGCTTTCACTGTAGCTGCCCTGTTTTACAAAGTGAAAGGTGCTTGTTAATACTATTCATATTAGGGTGGTATTTGAATTAGTCTGTTCTCACATTGACTGGCTAATTTATGAAGAAAAGAGGTTTAATTGGCTCACAGTTCTGCAGGCTGTACAGGAATTGTGATGCTGGCATCTGCTCAGCTTTTGGGGAGGCCTCAGGAAGCTTACAATCATGGCAGAAGGTGAAGGGGGAGCAGACACATCACAGGCCAGAGCAGGAGCAAGCAAGCGAGGAAGGAGATGCCACATACTTTAAAACAACCGGATCTCATGAGAACTCACTCATTATTGTGAGGACAGTACCAAGGGGAATGGTGCTAAACTATTCATGAGAAACCTGCCCCCATGATCCAATTACTTCCCACCAGGCCCCACCTCCAACACGGGGGATTGCATTTCAGCATGA
Source organism: Homo sapiens (assembly GCF_000001405.40). NCBI lineage: Eukaryota > Metazoa > Chordata > Mammalia > Primates > Hominidae > Homo > Homo sapiens. The sequence continues at coordinate 5,251,709 of NC_000006.12, forward strand.
GATCTGGGTGGAGACAACATCCAAACTGTATCATTGCATGCTAGCCTTCTTGATCAATCAGTGACACATAGGGTGGAAGAGGCAGTCACTGTTAAAAGATCCGCAACAAGGAAAACATGTGAAAGAAATCCTTTGATGAGTGAGAGGGCTGCCTGGTTCCCACTCCAGGAGCTCATGGTTCTAATTCCTCAGCTTGCCAATAAATCTGGATTGCGACTGGTAATATATTAAAGAGTTCCAATGGCTCAAAAAGAAAACAGATTCCTAAACACGAATCATTATTTGGTTCCTTCATTAAGACAGCAATCACAGATATCAGTGTTTCATTCAGTTGTGTAGTACATAGTAAGCGAGACCTGACGTTGATCAGCACTTAGGTTGATCAGGACTTAGGAATTTTACCACTCATGAAACTAGGGAGCCTGTTTAACCATTTCACCTATAAGGAGGAACTGTGAAAATAAACTTCTCCAGGTTGATGTTTCTACAGATTTTGCAGGCTTATTCACAGGATGCATGGGTGCAGGAATTTTCTTCTGAAAAGAATGGGGTTGTGGAAGCGGCAGCCCACGGGGAGCGAGGCGGCCTTCTAATCCCATTCTGCCCTTGACCAACTGTGAGACCAATCAAGTTGCTTCTCCTCTCTATGCCTCACTCTGCCTTGAAACCTATTTCGTTACTTACTGGGGATTTTACCTAGCATTTAACATCATGACATTTAGCTCAGTCCAACACTTCAGCCACAATTACCCACGTCTGGTTCTGACACACGCCTTGCATTTTACTTTTCACATGCCTTACTGTCTTTGCCTGGAATGCTCTTCCATCGCATGTCCACCTCTGTGGCTGACACAGACTGTTGCCTAATCAATAGTTCTTCCCACCGTTTTCTCTCTGCTGTCTTTTCACTAGAGATGCTAGAATAGCTGTATCCTAATTTTCCAGCCTGTTGTTTACCTAGTGATATAAACGTAATGAAGTTTTGGTCAATGAGCAAAAGCAGAGTCCTCCTGGAAAGCTTTACCCTTTCCTGGCTGTGACTGCCCTTCTTCTTCCTGACTAAATAAGGATGTATTTGGAGCTTCAAAAGCTGTTTGCAACCATCAGGCATAAGCATGAGAGGAACACCGAGACTCACACATACCTTGACATTTTCTAGCTGCTAAATAAGCTCTGGCAGCTACATACCTCTAGACCTTTCCTATGTGAGAAGAATAAGCCCCCAATTAAGCCCTGTGTAAGGGCTTCCTATGACTTCTGGTCAAAAGCATTCCTAATTTTAAGGTGGCACTTAGGAGACCAGCTCCTTTCTATGGCCTTTCCTTTGTACTTCATTGATAAACTTCTTTAGGAGCTTGTAATGTTTTACCCTTAATAGGAGGCTCATTTTGATCTGAAGCTCTTTGCACAATGCTTAGTGTATAACACATTAATAAAAACTCAAATATCTGATGAAGAATTAGGGAGTTCTGACACTACACTTGGTATGCATTTGGGCATCACTTTAGCCTTTTCTCAAGTTTTACAATAACATATTTCTTAAGCTATAAGAGGGATACATTGAATATAATTTTCTCTTGCATTTCAACAATGAATATTTATTATGTTGGTGCAAAAGGAATGCAGTTTTTGCATTGCTGGAATTTGCTGTTTGATACTGGAATAAATTCTTAAATAAATGTGGTTATGTTATACATCATTTTAATGGGCAATTCTCAGTTTTTTTTTTTGCTAATGACTTGCTGTTTATGTTTATTTTACACTATGGAAATAATGTTAGACAAAAAGTAAATTTCAGCAATTTTCTTATTTGAGCTCAAAATTGGTCAAAAAGCTGCAGCGACAACTTGCGACAACTCATTTGGCCTAGGAACTGCTAACAAAGGTACAGTGCTGTGGTGGTTCAAGAAGTTTTGCAAAGGAGACGAGAGCCTTGAAGATGAGGAGCCTAGTCGCCGGCCATTGGAAGTTGTCACCGACCAATTGAGAGCAATCATGGAAACTGATCCTCTTACAATACTCGAGAAGTTGCCAAAGAACTCAATGTTGACCATTCGATGGTCGTTCGATCTGAAGCAAAATGCAAATGTGAAAAACCTCAATAAGTGGGTGCCTCATGCTGAGCAAAAAAAAAAAAAAACCATCGTTTTGAAGTGTTGTCTTCTCTTATTCCATGCAACAATGAACCATTTCTCGATCAGATTGTGATGTGTGATGAAAAGTGGATTTTATGTGACAACTGGTGATGACCAGCTCAGTGGCTGGACCAAGAAGCTCCAAAGCACTTCCCAAAGCCAAACTTGCATCAAAAAAAGGTCATGCTCACTGTTTGGTTGTCTGCTCCACTAGAGCTTCTTGAATCCCGGCAAAACTGTTTCATCTGAGAAGTATGCTCAGCAAATCCATGAGATGCACTGAAAACGGCAATGCCTGCAGCCAGCACTGGTCAACAGAAACGGCCCAACTGTCTCCATAATGACCCTTGACTGCATGTCACAAAACCAACGCTTCACAAGTTGAACGAATTGGCCTCATCCGCCATATTCATCTGACTTCTCGCTAACCAACTTCCACTTCTTGAAGCATCTCGACAACTTTTTGTAGGGAAAACGCTTCCTTGACTAGCAGGATGAAGAAAATGCTTTCCAAGAGTTTGTAGAATCCCGAAGCACGGATTTTTACGCCACAGGAATAAACTTATTTCTTGTTGGCAAAAACATGTTGATTGTAATAGTTCCTATTTTGATTAATAAAGATATATTTGATCCTAGTTATAATAATTTAAAATTCATGGCCCAAAACCGCAATTACTTTTGCACCAACTTGCTACCTAGGTACTATGCTAAGCACTAGGAATAGAGATAAGACAGAATTTCTGGTAACTGTGTATGTGTGATATGTGCCCTAACAAAGGTAAGAACAGGTGCTTCCTCAACATCTGCTTATCTCCCGCTTAACCCAGAAACTGGCTGTCAGGCTTGGCACAAATAAACTCAACTTTCCACCCTCTCATACTCCAACTTGCCCTCTTCTCCTTCATTCCACTCATGTAAAATGAAATACCGTTCATTCTGTCCAAGACCAACCCCACCAGCTGTGCTCTCAGGTACCACTTTTCACCTCTCGTGGGGTCCTGCTCTATCGGTTATCTACTCTCATGTTTTATTAACCAAAATTCCGGTGGGAGGTGGAGGGGGTATCTCTACTCACGGCAGCAATTTACGCACTTCTGATTCATGTCTCAACCCCCACAATCTGGGTTCTGCCATAACCACTTGACTAACAATGCTGCTCTGGTAATGGTACCAGAGGCTCTACATTGCCCTCTTTATGAACTGGATATTGCTTAGACAAGCCACCCTGCTGACCACAGCTACCTTCCCCAAACATATGACTATCTTGACTTCTGCAACACTACTCTTTACTTGATCTCCTCCCATTTCTTCAACCCTACAGTAGTTAGCCAAGGGACCATGGCGGGGGTCTCTGAGACCTTTCAGGGGATCCACCAGGAAAACTATTTTCATAGTTATCAGGAAGACATCTGCATTCTCTCATGAGTATACAGGGGAAATTACTAGACACTAAGTGATATGTGATATAGCAACAAATTGTAGATAGCAACAAATATAAGCACCCAGTTGTCTTCTATTAAGCCAAACATGAAAGAGACTTGCACTAGTGTCAAACTATCAATCTGCTGATTTAGGGGGAGGAAAAATGGTTATTCTTCATAAAAGTGTTATTTAACATAATGGATTTAGTCACTTTAAAATAGGTGTTTTTAAAAGCTTTTTTTTTCTAATATGATAAATGCGTCCCACATAAATGAAAGCTTTTTGGGGTCCTCAGTAATATTTAAGAACGTAAAAGGCCTAAGACCAGTTAAGTTGAAGAACCACATTCTTAAACTTTGTCTTCTTGGCTCTTCTTCAGCCAACTACTTCAATTTTGATGTTCCCTAGAATAGCATCCGTAGCCACGAATTTTCTCACCTTAAACTAGGATTTCTCAATCTTGGCATGACCAAACTTTTGGGCCAGCTAATTCTTTGTTAATGGGGGTTGTCCCCTGTGCATCCCTGGCCTCAGATGCCTAGCACCCCCTTTCCAAGTTGTGGCAACCAAAAACGTCTTCAGATATTGTCAAATAAAATCACCCCAGGATGAGAACTACTAACCTAAATAGTATTCCTAGATAATTCATCTAATATCTAGGTTTTAATTTGACTTATGATGATAATTCCACTTATCAAGTACCTATTCTGCACCAGGGACTATCCTAAGTACTTGATGTGTATTAACTCACCACAGTGGTGCCGACTACAGCCCCCATTAACAAAGAATTAGCTGGCCCAAAAGGTTGGTCATGCCAAGATTGAGAAATCCTAGTTTAAGGTGAGAAAATTAGTGGCTACGGATGCTATTCTAGGGAACATCAGAATTGAAGGAGTTGGCTGAAGAAGAGCCAAGAAGACAAAATTTAAGAATGTGGTTCTTGGCCAGGCGCGGTGGCTCATGCCTGTAATCCCAGCACTTTGGGAGGCCGAGGTGGGCGGATCACCTTAGGTCAGGAGTTCAAGATCAGCCTGGCCAATATGGTGAAACCCCGCCTCTACTAAAAATACAGAAATTAGCCAGGCGTAGTGGCAGGCACCTGTAATCCCAGCTACTCGGGAGGCTGAGGCAGAAGAATTGCTTGAACCTGGGAGGTGGAGGTTGCAGTGAGCCAAGATCGCACCATTGCCCTCCAGCCTGGGCAACAAGGGCAAGATTTCAACTGGAAAAAAAAAAAAAAAAAAAAAAAAAAAAAAAAAAAAAAAGAATGTGGTTCTTAAACTTATTGGTCTCAGGACCCTTTTACACTGTGTGAGATGGATCAATTATGACTCTCATTTTATAAAGAAACTGCAGAACAGAGAGTGATGTGACTTGCGTGGGGTCACACAGAGTTGGTGGTGCTGACTACTGCAGTGCTCATCACTCCTCTGAGCTTCAGAGCCCTGTGATTAACTACCTCTGCTGGGCATCCCAGGGGAAATTTACACCCAAGATACCCTAAATATGAACTAAAAAACCCTCTCTCCACAAGACCAGCTAGTTCTGTATTACCTGAGTCAGTTAATGGTGCAAGTTTAAATTCACCCTCTCTGTGCTTTAGCTTAACCAGAAACCTGGATGCCATTCTAGACTCTGCTTGGATTCTCTTCTTCCTTAGTCCTCAATCCAATCATTCCAGTTCCAACAATTTTCCCTTCTAATGATTTATCAAATACAACATTCTTCTCTATCTTCCACTATTCCTGTCCTTACTAGCGTCCTAATCTCTACTCTGCACTGTTGTAATCAACTCCCATTTGATGTCCTTGGCCCCTCAAAATCATCTTCTACACTGCTGCCAGAGTGATCTATCAGAAAATGCAAATCTGGTCATGTCAGGTTAGTGGCTGCCTGTGAGCTAAGGGTAAAGTCCAGGGTCCTCAGCACGGCCCCCAGGCCCTCAAATCAGTGGCCCTCTCCAACCTCAGTGCCTTCCTGTCACCGCCCCCCCAACCCCATCATACTTACCTCCCTGGCAGTGCTGTGCTGTTTGCCTGCCTGACCACACCAAGCTGCTTCATGCCTTTGATCCAACATCACCCCTTGGGAGGCCTTCTAGATTCCACACCTTGTACATCCTTCTGTCACAGCACTTAACCCAGTCTGTGACAACTATCTCTGTACCTGTGTCCCACATAGGCCTGTAAAGCCATTGATAACAGGTGCCTAGCTTAGTTCAAAAATCTCATCTTTCTCTCTCCAGGGCTTGGTATAGCAGGGGTCCCCAACCCATCAGTACTGGTCCGTGGCCTGTTAGGAACCGGGCCACACAGCAGTTGAGCGGTGGGTGAGTGCGCATTATGGCCTGAGCTCCATCTCCTGTCAGATCAGCGGCGGCATTAGATTCTCATAGGTGCACCTATTGTGAACTGTGCATGTGAGTGATCTAGGTTGCATGCTCCTTATGAGAATCTAATGCCTGATGATCTGAGGTGGAAGAGTTTCATCCCGAAACCATCCCCTCCCTTGACCCGGTCCATGGAAAAACTGTCTTCCATGAAATTGGTTCCTGGTGCCAAGAAGGTTGGGGATAGCTGTGATATAGCACTGGGCAAAGCATGCTTCAGAGATGTTTTGTAGAAGCACTGAGGTAAAAGAATGACACACAGCAATGAGACCTGTTTGGCTGGTGGGAGGGATGGGAGTGGAAGCTGTGGGATGAAGAGAGTTGGGAAAACTTTTGTTCAGAGAAGGTGACAATTGAGCTCAATCTTGAAGGAAGAGGGGGCACTCTAGACAGGAGTGATAAAGGGCCTGCTGGATAGAACAGTACTTGTAAAGGCCTGGAGGCCCAACAGGACGTGGCACATTTAGGAAACTGCAACTGATGATGACAGAGGACAGGATGCACATGTGGGACTTAGGCTGAGACTGGAGGAGCAGACAGGGCTCCTGCTATCAAAACGTGGCCTATATTATAGGTCTTGCAAGAGAGTTCCAAAGTATTTATTTCACTACTCTAATTACTTAAGGCACAATTCGCAGGTCATTAAAAAACGTTTACTAGTCTGCTTTTGATTGCTTATTCAGCACTACCTGTGTTAGTTTTGATAGGTAACTTAAGCTCCCTGTGCCTCAGTTGCCTTACAGGGTAATACAAATAGTACCTACCTCACAAGATTATTGTCAAAACAAATGTGTTAATAGACATGAAGAACATAAGATAGCAGTGGCACACAGAATTGATAGTGGATGTTGTGTTGCTATTGATTTGCCATCAGTGACAAACAGCTGCAGAGATTAGAGAGGAGGGAAGGGACTTTTCCTGAAATTCACAAGACACAGCCTTAATGTAAAAGGACGTATTTTTATAACAAGTAAGTTTATCTAGGGAGGTAATAGCAGGAATGTCGGTTTTTAGGTCTATGATCTCAGGTAACAGTATAAAATGATTATCAGATTCCTTTGGATAATATATTTATATTTGGATAGTAAATTTAGCTTAAAAGTATATGCTTAAGGTATAATTTGATCAATTATTTTCTGAATGCATATGATCTTACAGTTGCCCATACTGAAACCCATTTTCAATTTTCTGCCTTTCAGGTAGAGTCTTGAATGATTTTCCTAAAGTTTGAATGATTTTCCTGTTGAGTTTCGTGAATGATTTTCCTGTTCAGTTGGCAATTACTCATTTGAAAACGCTTGGGCCTCATTTGCTCATAAATCATTTCCAAAGAGAATTTCAGAAATGGAAGGGTCCTTAGAGATTGTCTAGTCCAACAGTCTATTTCATAAACAAGAAAACTGAAATACAGAGATTGAGAGACTTGTCCAAGTTAGTCTTCGAGGGCTCCACCTTGACTTTCTTACATGCTCTCACATAAACCCTCTCCCTGCCACTTTCCTTAGTGTGTGAACTGCCTGCTGATTCCAAGTCCTTGTGTATCCTGAGTAAGCTTTAATGACAAACTATTTTACTCCAGACTATGGTGAAATCAAATGGTTTCTATTTATTTAACTTGCATATTTCATGTGTTTCCTCAACAGACTTGGTTAAGTACTTGGTGCTAGGTGTTTGGTTAATTCTTGCTAAAATTCCACCAGTATGCTTATTATTACACTCTTTATTCTCCAAAGTCAAAGTCATTAAGTAAAATCATTCTCTCCCGTGAAATTTAACCACTTAACTGGGTGGATACAACCTCAGTGGTATGACCCAGATGCTGTTTTCAAATTTGCAGCATGAGTATATTTTCCAGGCGGGTTTCTAAAAATTTGAGAGTCATTGCTTAAGAGGCTTAGCGTTCCTGTCCTCTGACAGAGGTTGTACTGGGCAGACCCATCTCAGGGCCTGCCAGCTCACACACGTGCTGGAGGGGGGCCTACCTAACCAGGTGTGTTCCAAGGGTAGGCTCTGCTCTTATGACATCCAATCCACAGTCTGGCCAGTCACCTAAGTGAGGCTTGAGGTAAAGAGATGAGTTGATCCAACCAGATTCTTTCTCATGGGAATATGGCTCAAACTCAGAGAGAGACAGGTAGTTAGTAAAAACAAAACAAAACAAAAAACAAATCTAAAAAAAAATGCAGAGAGAGAATCCATAAGAAAATGATGGGTCAGAACCAGCAACACTGTGAAAGCAGAGGCTCTGAATTAGAAAAAACATACAAAGAGTAACAATAAAAGACTCATAGGCAAATAGGGGAGTGGGGAGGCGTGAGAAAAAGTGAATGTGTTATATTAAAGATGTGAGTTTAGGCCCTCAATATCCTGCTGTCAAGGTCCAGTAAGCGGGATCTCTGTCTGGTGAGCCAGGAGAAACTGAGGTTTCAGCTCCAAAGCTTGTGAGACCCTTTTTCCTTTTCCGCTACGCATTTCCACCATACCCTAAATAGAATGGATTCTTGCAACCAAAAGAACTCATTACGACACCTAGGAAATTTTAGGGAGGTGCTAGAGTGTGCCTTCAGCTTTGTCGCAGTGTACTACTCACTGGCCACTTCCACTCTCAACTCTTCCAGTGCTCAAGGGAAGTTTTACATATGCAACACACTGGCCTTAACTTCACAAATGACTGATTTCCATCCCTTTTTTCTCTTCTGCAGAAACATAACACTAATCATGCTCCTAGAATAACTACCAAGATAGCCTTTAGGGGGAAAACGTCACAAGACATGAACGTCTCCCCTGGTAGAAAGAAAGGCTCCTCCCCGAGGTCTCAGAGGCCACACCTGTAGGCAGGAGCACGCTTTTCGATGGCGGAGCCCGGTCCTTGCCTCGCAGCCGCCGGCAAACCACGGTGGCTCCCAGTCCCCGGGGATATTCCGCGTCAGCCCGCACCCCCGGTCCCCGGCCCCTGGCCCCCCGCCCCCGGCCCCCGGTGCCCGCTGGGTCACCTGTAATTGTAGGCGCTGAAACGCTTGCTCTCTCTCAGCATCGCCCGGTACAGAGATAACACTTGTGCGCGACTGGAGGCTGCCATTTTGGAAAGAAAAAAAAATAAACGGGTCCTCTTCGCCGAGGTCCCAAGTACGACCCAACCCACGAAACTCCAGCCTGTGCGGAAACCACGAACGAAATAAAATGCTGCGGCTCGGCTTTGCCAGCGGGCCGGGCCTAAGCCTAAGCGGGCAGCCCTGCGGATCGCGGACGGCGCCAGGCGTCCCGCGCCGCTTCGGGGGCGGGCGCAGGCAGGGCTCGGGGCAGCTAAGGGGGCGGTGCTGGGAGGGAGATGCCTCCGCCCCGCCCCGATCCCGCCCCCGCCCGGAGGCTCGGGACCCAGCAGCCGCTCCACGCGGCGGGAGGGCGGGGAAATAAGAGGACTGGCCGCCCGTGCATCCAGCCAAGCTCCTGGCGGACGGATATCGGAGGCCCAGGCATTCGAGGGACGTGCAGTTGCATCACGGAGAGCCTTTGGGAACCGTCTGGGGTCTTGGCGGAGACATTTGTGTTTCGGGGGCAGCGCCCCTTCCTACATCCAGGAGGCCGCGTTGCCCGGGTTACCGAAGGCCGCCGCACCGACGCCCCGCCCCTGACCGCCGATGCCCCTCCCACGCCGGCTGCGGTCGCCCTCGGCGCTGCCTGAGAGAGTTTGCGGGATTTCAAGGGTGACTTGATTTCGCCTGATCCTGGTCGGCAGGGTGGGGTTTCTTGGCATTCCTCAGGCCGGGGGATGCGACGTCTGGGTGTGGAGGTGATGAGCTAGGGGTTCTGTGGCACTCCGGCTCTGCTCAGGGCGACCTGCGTAGGGGCCTCTGGGGCAGGCCCGCTTTCTGTCAAAATGGCAGCGCCCAGCGTGCGCGGGTATCTCTGAAGTTGGGGTTTAAGATTCTTGCCCGTGAGAGCGAACGAGCCTGCCGTACTTCTGATTTTGAAACACCTGGGTCTGGGCTTCCCGGGCGAGCGGTGGGTGAGTGCCGGCCTCATTGCAGCCTGGGGTACGACGTGGGCGGTTGGTGTTGTAGGGGGTTTACATTGGCCGTGGATTTTTTCCTCTTTCCGGATGTGTTTTTGCTTTTGAGTGAAGAGTTCCCGTGGTTTTGTAACCTAATAAATGCATAAAATGCAGCTTGGGTTGTAGACTTTGGAGAATAATTAGAGACCTTTAGGGCTTTAGGCTTTCTCCAAGAAGCGGAGCAAGTTTTCAACCATGGCTTTCTTCAGAAGACTGCAGCTTTTTTGAATCATCTTATTAAAGTGGTGGATAAAGTTGCTTGTTCTGATCTTTGAGCATGGCACTGGACGCAGGAAGCTTCAGCCAGTCCTAGTTACTGTGTTTGCAAAGCACTTTTCTTGTTTTTGGAATCTTGCTTTATGTAATCAACCTTAGGAAGAACCACACCTTTCTGCACTCAAGCACAGCGAGAAGTACGTTATGCGTGAAAACAAAACAACTTTGCATTAAAATCCATCTTTCTCCGAACCACTTGGTCACGGTTGTGTTCTCATCTGCTTTAGTGTATTTGGTTTTGAAACGATATACCTGCTGTATGTCTAAACAACTTTATATTTTCAGGAACTTTTCTGTTTCCTTTTCTTTTTTTTGAGATGGAGTCTCGCTCTGTCGCCCAGGCTGGAGTGCAGTGGCGGGATCTCGGGCTCACTGCAACCTATGCCTCCCAGGTTCAAGCCATTCTCCTGCCTCAGCCTCCTGAGTGGCTGGGATTACAGGCGCGCGCTACCTCGCCCAGCTAATTTTTGTATTTTTAGTAGAGACAGGGTTTCACCATGTTGGTCAGGCTGGTCTCGAACTCCTGACCTCAGGCAATCCGCCCGCCTCGGCCTCCCAAAATGCTGGGATTACAGGTGTGAGTCATCACGCCCAGCCTCTATTTTCAGGAACTTTAAAGGCAGAAAAAACACTTCTCTGACCTTACCATTCTTTAGTGTACTTGCAACCTGGTGTCCTTGCATCCAGATATTCTTACTAATCCTGATGCAATGACATTTTTTAAAAGGCACTGAAGAGAAAATACTTTTATTAAGATATCTTTAAGTCTCCTCCCTGATTTCTTGAAAATCTCATGTCTGTTATTGTTTATTATTATTTTTTAAACAGGATAGCAAAACTTCTATTACTTCCTGGTTGGTCAGGTCATTGAGCAAATCTAGCCTCTGCTTTATTGAAAGGACTTTTTTGAGTTTTCCCTTTGCTATTTCTTAAAGGATCCAAGACCAAGGCAATTGCACATTGTTATAGAGTAAGATTCAGAGCTGATTTCTCTTGATACACTATTGTGTGCCAGTGATATGAAATGATATGCGGCACCTCAAAGCTACAACATTAATGCAAGTTACTGATAGAGAATGCTATCAGAGTGAAAAGGAAAAACTTGAAGATTATTTTGGCTTTTTTAAAAATAGCAAAGATTACATTATTTTATTATATTTTGCTTTTGAGAGTAAAGTTGGAATAATTACTATATACAATTGTTTCTACCTAATTATCAAGGAATTTAATCATTAACGTACATAATTAATGTATCTAAATTACTCAACTTTGTTGTAATCAAATAAAACTTTTCCAAATAAATATGTATAGTTTAAATAGTTTGGGTAGCTTAGTCCTCTGTTAGTACGAGCAATGGTTGCAGTTAGGAAAGTGATAGGCTTCCCAGTTAATTCTGAGCCAAGTCTTCATAAAAATACCTTATTATTTTATTTAAAATGGTTTACCAATGTGTTGGACATCATTGCCTGGAGAGGCTAAAAGAAAATAATCATTCCGTAGCTACATCTCACTTTTGCACATCTTCATTGCGGAGATGACTTAAAAAAAATAACTCGATTTGAGATTGTAAGTAGATTTGGGCCAGAAGCTGAAGAATGGACCTTACACATACGTCCTTTAATAGTCATTCTATTCTGGGTTGAAATTTTTCTTAGAGAGTATCTGTAAAACAGGAGGTACCATTTAGGCATCAAAACGTAAAAATTTCTTTAGTATTCATTTATCAAAAGTTATCGACTACCTGTAGTTCTTTATGGAAGATCATGTGTTACCTTCTATTAAAATTAGGGTTGTTAATGACCACTTAATGCTTTGTGAAGAGAAATTTCTCTAATCATAATAAACAGTGTAACAACAATTTACTGTCCTTAAGCTTAAATATCAAAATGATGTATAAAGTAAAATTTGTATAGTAGTAGTAACTTACGATATTATTTAGAAATTGTTCAGCTGGGCATGGTGGCTCACACCTGTAATCCCAGCACTTTGGGAGGTTGAGGCAGGTGGATTGCTTGAGCCCAGGAGTTTGAGACCAGCCTGGGCAACATGGCAAAACCCCATCTATACAAAAAATACATCATAGCGAAACCTCACCTCTACACAAAAAATACAAAAATTAACTGGGTGTGGTGGCATGTGCCTGTAGTCCCAGCTACTTGGGAGGCTGAGGTGGGAGGATTGCTTGAGCCCTGGAGGTTGAGGCTGCATTGAGCCATGATCACATTACTGCTCTGTAGCCTGGGCAACAGAGTGAGACCCTGTCTACCAAAAAGAAAAAACAACAACAACAACAAAAAGAAATTATTCTATTCTACACCACACATGAATCCAAGTATTATACATTGATCCTTCATTTTAATAGAACACGAAGGGGAAGGGGGAAGACCTTAGATATCAACTCATTCATTTGTACAGATGAACAAACTGAAGACTTTTTCCTCATTCGTTCATTCCTTCAGCATTTATTGAACACTTCCTAAGTACTATAGGTTATGGTTTTTCTTTTCTTTTTTCTTTTTTTTTTTTTTTGAGACAGAGTTTCACTCTTGTTTCTCAGGCTGGAGTGCAATGGTGCAATCTCGTCCGGCTAATTTTTTGTATTTTTAGTAGAGATGGAGTTTCACCATGTTGTCCAGGCTTTTCTTGAACTCCTGACCTCAGGTGATCCAGCTGCCTTGGCCTCCCAAAGTGTGGGGATTACAGGCGTGAGCCACCGCGCCCGGCCCATAAGTACCATATATTATATAAGATGATATAGTCACAGTGATGAGAGCTTCCCCACCCCTAAGAAACTTGTAGGTGACTAGATAAGCGAAACAATAATTTATTTTATAGAGACAGGGTCTCTGTTTACTAAGCTGGAGTGCAGTAGTGCTATCATATCTCGTTGTAACTTCAAACTCCCGTGCTGAAGTGATTTTCCTGCCTCAGCCTCCTGAGTAGCTAGGCCTATAGGCTCATGCCACCATGCCTGGCAGATTTTTAAGTGTTTTTTTTTTTTTTTGTAGAGATGAGATTTCACTATGATGTCCAGGGTGGTCTCAAACTCCTCAGTGCCTCTCCTGTCTTGGCTTCCCAAAGAGCTCAGATTATAGCTGTGAGTCGTGGCACTTGGCCAATAATTTCTTTTTGACAGTTGCTGCGATATGAGTAATATTAGTAAACGCTAAAGGAATAGGGAAGAGGAATATTGAACCAGGAGTTTCACCTATGGGAAGGCTTTCCATCGTAGAAGGTGTTTCCAGAATGAGAAGTAAAAGCCAGATGAGGAATGTGGTTAAAGATTGCAGTGTATATCCAAGCATGGAGGAAGAAGGGTGCTTGATCTATTTAGAGAACTCTTAAGTGTTTTAGAATGGTAGGAGGTGGGAAGGGAGGGACCACTGAAGTGTTTAGCCCTGTACTAGCTTTATTTTAGTGATGTTTTCTCTCTGTCTGGAATAAATCATTTCTTCCCTTATGCATTGGCTGAGTTATATAAGTAGAACTTAACAGCTGAGCTGTTGAAATGGAGATTATTTATTCAGGTACTGATAACCTTTTGTTTCAAATCATGACTTTGAATCCTATATTCCAGAGGCACTGAAATGTTATTTATTTACCTGTGCATTCAAGAGATAGCTGGCAGCCTAGCAATTTAAGTTACTGTTGTTGTGGTAACTTGAGGGCGATATATAAATCAAACACTGATCCTGTTTTCCAGAAGTTTATACTTTAAATGCATTTGTATATGATTAAAATAAGGTATTAGGTTGGTGAAAGTAGCTGCAGTTTTGACCGTTACTTTTAAGGGTGAAAACAGCAATAACTTTTCTACCATCCTGTACAAAGGGCTGCTGAAGCGTTGTGGGGTCTCAGTGCAAGGAGAGGTCACTTCATCCCTGATGCTTGGGCCACACCTCAGACCAACAGCAGTGCTAAGGCCCAGGCTTCAGATAATTTTGTTTAATTTTTTTTTAAAATTCTCTCCATGATTGGGTAGAGCCAGGGCTGAGAAACATTGACCTGAAGGAATTAGGGGGCTTCATGGAGGAGGTAGTGTTTGTGTTGGGCTTGAGAGGATTTAAGTTTCTCCTGGGCCTTGAAAGGAATTGAAGGATTTAAATGTTTGAATGTGGTGGTAAGATGGCTACTGTAGGTGGAAGATGACTCACCCTTTACCTTGAAAGGATGAAGGAGAAACCCTGATTGAGGTCTAAGAAAAAACAATCATGACCTGCGGAAGGCTTTGGCCAGAGCTGTAGAGTGCATGAGGGTGAGAACGGGGAGATCCCGTGAAAAGGTAATACATCGGCTTTCATATGTTTTAGGCATGAGATGAGCTGAATCCTGATATGATTTGAGTTAGTCTTCCCATGACCTGATGGAAGAGCTGTTATCTCCATTTAAGAAAAGTGAAGCTGCCCAGGTGTGGTGGCTCACATCTGTAATCCCAGCACTGTGGGAGGCTGAGGCAGGAGGATCACTTGAGCTTGGGAGTTTGAGGCCAGCCTGGGTAACATAGCGAGACCCCATCTCAATAAAATAGAATAAAAAAAAGAAAAAAAAATGAAGCTGAGAGTTTATTTAGCCAGGGTCACACAGCTGGAAAGTAGCTAGTGTGGACCTTGGCCTGAGATGTGATCTGTCTAGCTATGATACAACACTGCTTCACAGATAAAGTACCAGCTTCAGGAATTGGAAGGTTATTGATTTTTCTTGGATAACATGGGTACATTTCAGTCATATTTGAATTTTAATTTAGTTGGATTCTCACTTATTTGTAAAGCTAACCGGTTTGTATTGGAAATATTATAAATATTCTGGGAATCTCAAATGTTGATTTTATACTAGCTTTTTAGTTATTTAAGATAAATTTACATTTTATTCTATTAACATCTCTTTGAAAAGACGTAGTGCTTTTTTAGGTTGTCTATTTATGTGTGTATGTGAGACATTTCCTCTTGGGGGATTCTCTGAGACTCACATTTCTGTAGAAGCTTTTTTCAGATATACTTATGAAAATCTGTTCTCTGTTTTGAGAAATCTTGAAAGCTATGATATGTTGCAACTAGACACTCTAGCTTCATTGATTGGAGGCTAAGGGTTCCCGTATTTGTGGGCAGTAACAACAAAATTGACAATTTATTTTGTGTAAAGTATTTCAAATGTCAGTTATTTCTAGAGGTTTTTTTTCTTAAAAAAAAAAAACTCATTAATTCTTTTCATTGTAAAGGAAAGAAACCATCTTTTCATGCTACAAACCCCGACCACCATGAGAATTCTTTTACAGTGTGATTTGTTGTAATCTGTTATAGATCACTTTCATTCTTTCTTTCTTGCTGCATATGAGGGACCAGTATTTTAGGAATAATGTTTTCATATTGTCTGGATATTTTAGGATGATTTGTTAATCAAACTAGCTACAGCTTATTGTAATGATAGCTATTATTTATTTAGAGTTTGTTTTCTCTCTTCTAGGAGCTTTGCCATGAAAAGAACAGTCCAGGCCAGGCGTGGTGGCTCACACCTGTAATCCCAGCACTTTGGGAGGCCCAGGCAGGTGAATCACGAGGTCAGGAGATGGAGACCATCCTGGCTAACACAGTGAAAACCCGTCTCTACTAAAAAAATACAAAAAAAATTAGCCGGATGTGGTGGTGGGTGCCTGTAGTCCCAGCTACTCGAGAGGCTGAGGCAGGAGAATGGCATGAAGTTGGGAGGTGGAGCTTGTAGTGAGCTGAGATCGCACCACTGCACTCCAGCTTGGGAGACACAGCGAGACTGTCTCAAAAAAAAAAAAAAAAAAATCGCCACACTGTCTTCCACAATGGTTGAACTAGTTTACACTCCCACCAACAGTGTAAAAGTATTCCTGTTTCTCCACATCCTCTCCAGCACCTTTTGTTTCCTGACTTTTTAATGATCGCCATTCTAACTGGTGTGAGATGGTATCTCATTGTGGTTTTGATTTGCATTTCTCTGATGGCCAGTGATGATGAGCATTTTTTCATGTGTTTTTTGGCTGCATAAATGTCTTCTTTTGAGAAGTGTCTGTTCATATCCTTCGCCCACTTTTTGATGGGGTTGTTTGATTTTTTTCTTGTAAATTTGTTTAAGTTCTTTGTAGATTCTGGATATTAGCCCTTTGTCAGATGGATAGATTGCAAAAATTTTCTCCCATTCTGTAGGTTGCCTGTTCACTCTGATGGTAGTTTCTTTTGCTGTGCAGAAGCTCTTTAGTTTAATTAGATCCCATTTGTCAATTTTGGCTTTTGTTGCCATTGCTTTTGGTGTTTTAGACACGAAGTCCTTGCCCATGCCTATGTCCTGAATGGTATTGCCTAGGTTTTCTTCTAGGGTTTTTATGGTTTTAGGTCTAACATTTAAGTCTTTAATCCATCTCACATTAATTTTTGTATAAGGTGTAAGGAAGGGATCCAGTTTCAGCTTCTACATATGGCTAGCCAGTTTTCCCAGCACCATTTATTAAATAGGGAATCCTTTCCCCATTTCTTATTTTTGTCAGGTTTGTTAAAGATCAGATGGTTGTAGATGTGTGGTATTATTTCTGAGGGCTCTGTTCTGTTCCGTTGATCTATATCTCTGTTTTGGTAACAGTACCATGCTGTTTTGGTTATTGTAGCCTGGTAGTATAGTTTGAAGTCAGGTAGCGTGATGCCTCTAGCTTTGTTCTTTTTGCTTAGGATTGACTTGGCAATGCGGGCTCTTTTTTGGGTCATATGAACTTTAAAGTAGTTTTTTCCAATTCTGTGAAGAAAGTCATTGGTAGCTTGATGGGGATGGCACTGAATCTATAAATTACCTTGGGCAGTATGGCCATTTTCACGATATTGATTCTTCCTATCCATGAGCATGGAATGTTCTTCCATTTGTTTGTGTCCTCTTTTATTTCATTGAGCAGTGGTTTGTAGTTCTCCTTGAAGAGGTCCTTCACATCCCTTGTAGGTTGGATTCCTAGGTATTAGAACTAGAAATACCATTTCACCCGGCAATCTCATTACTGGGTATATACCCAAAGGATTATAAATTATGCTCTGTAAAGACACATGCACACATGTGTTTATTGCAGCACTGTTCACAATAGCAAAGACTTGGAACCAACCCAAATGTCCATCAATGATAGACTGGATTAAGAAAATGTGGCACATATACACCATGGAATACTATGCAGCCATAAAAACGGATGAGTTCATGCCCTTTGTAGGGACATGGATGAAGCTGGAAACCATCATTCTGAGCAAACTATCGCAAGGACAGAAAACCAAACACCGCATGTTCTCACTCATAGGTGGGAATTGAACAACGAGAACACTTGGACACAGGATGGGGAACATCGCACACCGGGGCCTGTGGTGGGGTTGGGGGAGGGGGGAGGGATAGCATTAGGAGATATACCTAATGCCAGCATGGCACATGTGTACATATGTAACAAACCTGCACCTTGTGCACATGTACCCTAGAACTTAAAGTATAATAAAAAAAAAAATGAAAATAACCAAAAAAAAAAAAAGAGAAAAGAAGAGTCCTTTCATTGCTGTTTAGCAGTATCTCATTTTAGTAATTTTTCTAGTGACATATTTGAAGTTCTGATTGACTTCTTCGAATGAGTGTATTAGCCGCCATCTCTTGTTTGTTCAGGTCAGTAGGTTGTTTACAGAAAACATTTAGAATTTGCAGTGTTGAGTCTGTTTACAAAAAACAGCCTACATTTTGCTAATCACTGGAAAAATACTAGGTCAGTGTCTTAAGATGTGCAATACTGAGATCTGTGATGTTAACTGATCTCTCAGAGGATGGGTCGATACATATCGTTGATAGTATACTGTAGACTGTTATTAACAATAGAAGATATACAGAGAATTCATGATTTCTTTGGTATTATAGTGAATTACATGATTTAATATTTTATAACGTTTTAATGTAAACATTTATTTTCTGAGCACAATTGAAGCACTTCAGCCTGGCAAACTTGTAATCTGTATGTGTAATTGTGAGTTTGAGTTAACTAACAATATTTAAGAGTTATAAAAGCCTGGCTTCTGTGAAATGGATTACAGTAATATTGGCAGAGAGTAAAACAGTTAGTTTCAGTTAATGAAGATGAGTTTTTTGGGAGAATTATCTTTTTTTAAATCAATTCCTGGAATTCTGCAGTGCAAAGGGAAAGTAAAATGAAGCAGTCATGAAATAGAAAAAGCTTAGCAGGCAGCATACTTTCTTTCCTGTTTCTTGACGTTCTGAGATAAGCACATTGTTATTTATTTCAAGTCTTGGAGCACTTTGAGACAAGCACATGTGCCTGGGCATTCATAACATTAAGCCCTGTTAGGAATCCCACTTACACCCTTGGCTTCTGCGTACTGTGAGAGCTGGGCTGGATGATAATTACAGTCAGCTTTCATTTGTAGAGCCCAGGTCTTCAAATAATTTCCAAGTAAACTATCCCAGATTAATACGTTTCAGGACATAAGTGTGGTTCGCTAGAGCTGTCAAGCTGTCTGGATGCCCTTCTGTTAACTTTGTAGAAGAGATTCCACGTGTGTCAAGTTACAGTGTTTGCTGAAATTTTTCTGTTGTCTTGAAAGCTATTTGAAAATGAAATGTTCATTATAGTACTGGTGGTCAGGTATGTTCCTTAGATATATATGAATTAATGTCACCACACTATAGACAGTAATTTTTATATCACCTTCTCTCCAAAAACCTGCAGCACTTTTAGGATGAAGTCTAATTCCTTAACACAGCCTATGAGACCCTGACGACTATGGCGCTTACCCACTTCTCCAGTCCCATGTCATACCTTTTTATTTTTCGCTTGCTGCTTTTCATTCTTTAGTACTCACCTCTTTCCCCTCTACCCTGGGGACCTTTGCAAATGCTGATCCAGCTGCCTGGAGTGCCCTTCCTTCCCTTGCTAATTATTCTTCTGATCTCAGTTTAAGAGATGCTTACTCAAAGCTACCTTCTCTAACTTGAGTACATCTTCCTCTGTTAAGCTCCCTTAGTATGGTGAATTGCTCTTCAGCTTAGAGTGACTGCCATTGCAAGTAACTGAAGTCAAATTGTTTTAAACAAACCTAGTGGCTTTATTGTCTCCTGTGTCTTGAGGGTTCAGAAGCCAGATGGGCTTTAGGGTTGATTGGTTTGAGTGATGTTGCCAAAGATTCAATTTTGTGCTTTTCTCTACTTTGTCTTCTCTAACGTAAATTTTATCGTCTGGCCAGAGTCCTCTCTCTCGGTTATGGGAAACCATCAACAGTTTGGGGGCGCTTGTTTCCAAAACCTTAGAGGAGTGAGAGAGCTTCTGGACCAAGAGTGCTCAGCAGTCCTCTCCGTTCATGTCACTGGCCCTCCTTGTGTCATGTCCTCATCCATTTCTGAACCAATAACTGTGACCAGGGAGAAGATAGGATTCTTTTGGTCTTGAACCAGTTGCCTAGCTCCTAGAGATAAAGGGGAATTATTTTTTGTAAAAGGAACAAAGTTCACTAGAGCAATCTTGCCAGAGTTATATTTTTTTATTTGATTAATTTTTTTGTGATATTAGGCTGTGTATAAGAACAGAGACTATGTCTGTTTTTTTTTTTTTTTTTTTTGAGGCGGAGTCTCGCTCTGTCACCCAGGCTGGAGTGCAGTGGCACGATCTTGGCTCACTGCAACCTCCGCCTCCGGGGTTCAAGCGATTCTTCTACCTCAGCCTCCCGAGTAGCTGGGACTACAGTCGCCCGCCACCACGCCCGGCTAATTTTTATATTTTTAGTAGAGATGGGGTTTCACTATATTGGCCAGGCTGGTCTTGAACTCCTGACCTTGTAATGTGCCCACCTCGGCCTCCCAAGTCTGTTTTTGATTACTATTGTTTCTTCAACATTTTACATCTAGCTTTGCATATAGTAAATGATCGATAAATATTAATAGTGTAATGACTCAATCACGTAAGCTCCAAATACAGTAAGGACCCCCTGCCGCCACCACCCTTACCCATGGTTTTGCTTTCTTAGTTACCCAGAGTCAACTATGTTCTGAAAATATGTAATGGAGAATTCCAGAAATAATGCATGTTTTAAATGGGTGTGTTCTGAGTTTTGTGTTGAAACCTGCCCAGGGCATGAATCCTCCCTTTGTCCAGTGTCTCCATGCTGCATACACGCTACCTGCCCATTAGTCACTTCGTTGCCTTCTCAGTTACCACAAGATCACGATTTTCGTTATGGATAGATGACAAGAAGAAACAGGGTGAGTGCAGTGGGATGAGGTACTTTGAGAGAGAGAAGAGACCATATTCTTTCTCTTTTTCATAACTTTTATTACGGTAGGTATATTGTTATAATTGTTCTACTTTTTATTAGTTTTTCTTGTTGAATTAATGATGGGTTTTTCTTTTTTCTTTCCAAAAAATAATAATAACCACTATCTTATGCGGAAATGATATCACGAACAGTTGCATTATCAAATCAAGGAGGAAATGCAATCAGAGAACAGGCAGAAAAACTATGATTATAATGGTTTGTATTTTTCTTGTCTCAGATTCTTTTATTTATTTATTTTTATTGATACATAATAGATGTACATATTTTTGGGGTACATGTGATACTTTAATACATTCATATAATTTATAAAGATCAAATTAGTGTAATTGTGATATCTATCACCTTAAATATTTGTCTTTATGCTAGAAACATTCAAATTGTTTTCTTCTAGCTATTTTGAAATATGCGATAGATTATTATAATCTATAGTCTCCCGGTGATCCATCAGACACTAAGTCTTATCTCTTCTATCAAGCTGTATTTTTACTTGCTAGTCAATGTCTCTGCATCCCTCCTGCCCTGTACCCTTCTTGGCCTCTGGTCACCACCAGTCTATTCTCTCTTTCCATGAGATTCACTTTTTTAGCTCCGACATACGAGTAAGAACATATGGTATTTGTCTTTCTGTGCTTGGCTTATTTCACTTAACATAATGTCCAGTTCCATTCATGTTGCTGCAAATGGCAGAACTTCATTCTTTTCTATAGCTGAATAATGCTCTGTTGTCTTTTTATGCCACATTTTCTTTGTCCTTTCATCCCTTGATGTACACTTAACATTGATTCCATATTTTGGCTTTTGTGAATAGTGCTGCAATAAACATGGGAGTGCTGATTACAATGCACATATCTTTTTGATAATACTGATTTCTTTTCTTTTGGATATATTCCCAGCAGTGGAATTGCTGGACATATGGTAGTTCTATTTTTAGTTTTTTGAGGAACCTCCACACAGTTTTCCATATTGGCTATACTAACTTATATTTCCACCAACAGTTTACAGGGGTTCCCCTTTCTCCACATCTGTGCCGGCATCTTTTATTCCCTTTTTGATAAAAGCCATTTTAACTGGGGTTAGATGACATCTCATTGTGGTTTTGATTTGCATTTCTCTGATGATTAGTGATGTTGAGCATTTTTCATGTATCTACTGGCCATTTGTATGTCTTCATTTCAGAAATGTCTATTGAGATCTTTGGCCCAATTTTTAATCAGATTGTGTTTTTTTTTTATTGAGTTGTTTGTGCTCATTATATATTCTGGTTATTAATCCCTTGCCAGGTGGATGGTTTGCAAATACTTTTTCCTATTCTGTGGGAGATTCTGGGTTGTGTTTTCACTTTGTTGATTGTTTCCTTTGCTTACAGAAGCGTTTTTGCTTGATGTAATCTAATTTTTCTCTTTTTGCTTTGGTGGCCTGTACTTTTGAGGTCTTCACAAAAAATCTTTGCCCAGACCAATATCCTGGGTTGTTTCCCCAATGTATTCTTGTAGTAGTTTCATAGTTTCAGGTCTTAGATTTAAATCTTTAATCTACTTTTATTTGATTTTTGTATATGGTGAGAGATAGGAACTTAGCATCATTTATTGAAGAGTGTTTTTTTTCCCCATTGTATGTTCTCAACACCTTTGTGGAAAATAAATTGACTGTAAATGTATTGATTTATATCTGGTTCTCTATTTTATTATTAGTTATTGTTGTTAAATCTCTTACTCTACCTAATTTATAAATTAAACTTTATCATAGATATTCACGTACAGGAAAAAACATAGTAAACAGTACTTAGGGTTTCGTACGCTCCACAGTTTCAGGCATCAACTGCAGGTCTTGGAACCTCCGTAGACAAAGAGGAGCTACTGTAACTTACCTGTAAAAATTATTGAGTGACTTTGGCAGATAGTATTAGTTGGCTACCCATCAGCCATATCAACCGTACTTCTTCCCGGCCATTAGAACCCTGATTTTGTTTGGGTGGCCATGTGCCTAGTTCCTGGAAATGAATTGTAATGCGGTCTTAGGCTTCATAGTGATTGCATTCCCTCTTTACCAGATACTTGTTTGTCATAGCCAGGCATAGCCACAAGACACAGATCTGGTTAATGAGACAACAGGAAGTTGTCTGGAAGGTTTCTAGGAAAGATTTTGTTTTCTATTAAAAGATAAGTATTTGCACAAGAGGGCTTACTTGTGTCATCTTCTCCCCTGCTTGGAATGCAAGTAATACTAAAGCTTGAAGCTCAGCAGACACACATGAAGGAAAGGCCAAGAGAATATGAGATTCCAGCCTAAACATTGGCTTTTCTGAGCCATGAAATGAACCCTGGAACTGGATGCGTCTAGACTTCGTGTTTTGTTAACAACTAATGTCTTTCTGTTTTCAGCCACGATTATTTAGTCTTTCTGTTTTATGCAGCTCACCATGTCTTTTTTTTTTGAGACAGGGTCTTGCTCTGTCACCCCAGCTGGAGTGCAGTGGCACAGTCATGGCTCACTGCAGCCTCCAACTTCCGGGCTCAAGCAATCCTTCTGCATCAGCCTCCCAAGTAGCTGGGACTACAGGTGCATGCCACCTCACCCAGCTAATTAAAACAAATTTGTTTTTGGTAGAAATGGGGTTTTGCTCTGTTGCCCAGGCTAGTTTTAAACTTCTGGCTTCAAGCAGTCCTCCTGCCTCGGCCTCCCAAAGTGTTGGGATTACAGGTGTGAGCCTGGCCCTACATATTTCAATATAGTGCCAAAAATAAAATAGAACTTCCCCGCTTCAGCCTTGCCAAAAGTCTTTATTTGGAATTTATTATATTTGTCAATTTAAGTTATTTGTTTTTGCTGGTTGCGAATCACTGGGATATTTTCTTTCTTTTTCTTCTTAAACAGATGCATTTGTTACATGTACACAAGGCCAAGCTTTTTTGCACTGAAGGACATTGGTATATGAGGGTCCTTCTCTTGAATAATCAATATTTTCTTATACTCTTCACTCCAGTCATGACTACTCAGCTTAAATGTTACTTCTTCAGGGAATGTTCCCAACCTCAGTTTAAATTACACCCTTCTGATTTTATCATTATTTCTTATGACATCTTGTTCTTTACCTTAACTTTTTATAATTTAAAATTGTACAAAGTAGATCTACATAATAGAAGGTTCCTGGTTTAATGTTGAGTTCTCCCACCAGAATGTGAATTCTGTGAGGGCTGGGACCATGTCTATTTTGTTCATCACTAGAGGCATAGTGCCTACTAAGTGCTCAGTAAATCTTTGTTAAATGAGGAAATGAAGGAATATAAGCCTGAAATTTTTAGATTTCTGCATCTTTCATCCTCCTGCCCTGTCACCACCAAGAATATTAGGTAACATGAAGTGTTCAGCCACAGCACAGATTCTGTTGCATTTGTTTGGATTATATTGCTCCCTACTGGCCAGGATTTAGGTTTAGATTTTAGGCTTTTAGACTTTAATTTTGTTTGCCTCAATAGAAAATATAATGGGAGTAGCATAGTCACTTAGCATAGTATCTGAGTAAACATCCTGTCAGTTCCTTCAGAAGAGTGATACATATTTTGCATACTTTATCTCTTGCGTTACGATATATTCTCCCAGAATTTTATATTATCTTAAGCTTTGCTGGCACTATTTTTATATATTGAAGTTAAGAGCCCCTAGTAGTGAATGTTTTTATTTTCTGCTTTTGGATAGCACTAGAAGCATGGAAATGACTATCATTTTAGCTCTGTTACTAGTCACAATCATTTAAAATTGCATTTGGAAACCCTATTTTCTTTCTGAAAAAGTAGGCTCAATGGGGGAGTTGTAAGAATTATTGACACAAGTTATTGACTTAGAATGGAGGTACTTTAAAATAAATTTTTTAGTTTCAGCATGCTGTAATTCTAGATTGTTGGTATTAGTTTTACCGTGTCTGGGAAGATTTATTGTGCATTTTTGAAATGAGTGTAAATGCTGTATATATGTGATAGTAAGGGAGAAAACTTGACTAAGATTTTGTCGATTTGGTCTCATTTCACAGCTGTATCATAGGTTTTTTCACATCATTTTAGGTAAATTACTTAACATTTAGATAATCACATAATTTATTTCCTACATCAGGACACTTGAGATCAGTGAAAGTGGGTGCTATTAAATAATTATACTGGCATGACAGGCATAAACATGAACTGTCTTGGGGATACTGAGACATATGGTCACTCTATTTGATAACAATAATCTGTGATGACTATGTTAATCTGCATACCCTTGTGAATTGCAGGAACTAAGAATTGGAGGCTCATCAAAGAGCTTTACTTTCCCTTTATTCTTTACGGAATGGCTGCATCCTCAACACCTTCTGCCCAGAGGTGTGATTCTTCAATTGTGTGGATCACTCTGGGTCCCCAAACTGATGTGGTTCCCTGGGCAGTAGGAGACTGGGACTGTGGGTTGTTCTCTGCTTCAGGGATGAATCTCTTTGTGCAGGATTAGCTGGCTGTACTAAGCCGGGCATCCAGGAGGAGGGCATGTTGGGCTGTCCAGACACTCCCAAGGACTTGGCTGACCCCAAAGATTTCTCTCTGCCTGTCTCTTCCCATCTCTATAAATCAGGCAGCACAGGAGGAACAAACACATGTTATTGTTTTACCTTGAAGTGAAATCCACCTATTCCTCCTCAGTGCAGGCTCAGTATCTCCTGAGCCAGCCTCAGTGCATTGTGGTGTAAAGAGAAATAATTTTTTCTCCCTGTGGTGTTTAAGCCTAATTCAAATAGAAGCTGCTCTGTGATTAACTTACCTTTCTGTCATTCATTGATCAAATGGTGACTGAAGAAGAAGCTGAATGAAGGCACAGATAGCGAGTGCAGCGTCATGTCACACAAAGCTTTTGCATTTGTCAGCAGGGGCTGGTTCACAGTTTTGTTTTTTTTTTTTCTTTTCTTTTCCCAGATTAATTGTTACTTGTCACATGTAGATATTTGACTTCTTGAAAGACTTAAACCAAAACATTAAATAAAGTAGCAGCTTAGAATGGCAAAATGGTTGGTTTTTTAAACAAACTAAATTGACCCAAGAGATTTTAGAATGACTATATTTTTCAGTTACATTTTTGAGGAAAAGAAAATGGATATCAATTACAAATGGGTGGTTGCAGATACATTTTTTTAATAGTTCCAATAATACACATTTTTTTTATTTACCAGAAAAGTACAAGTTCAGCTGCAAAGAAAATGCAGTAAAACTTGGTAAAGTTAAGGAATGCCACCTTCTGAATACTCGATACATTTGTTTGTAAAGAGACGATATATCGTATCATCTCTGTAGGGCATAAAGGGTGCTGGCAATTTCAAAACTAAAATCTGTTTCTGTGTTATAGCATATTATCAGCAGTACCAGATTTACAGTGAATACATTTAAGATTTGAAAGATATTTTGGGGACTTTTGGTTCTTTATTAAATCTTTATATATCATGATTGATAATATGCAAGAACATTGGCTTTTTTTCCTTGCTCAGCATTATTCAAAAATGTTTTGCAATAAAATCCTAACACCATGTTGTCCATTTTCACTGCCCCCGACCCCTCATTTTAAGGAATATCACTGTACCCAGTCCATTTTGGGTATCCTGACTTCATAAATGAGGGAAGTGTTAGCAGAGTGGATACTTAGGAGTTTGATGTCTTATATCCTGCTCCGTTTGGACTAGAACCTTAATCTTTTCAATATTTTCTCCTTAAAGTATACTTCATCTGTCATTAATCTAAATTATCATCTCACATAAAGCAGCTGACTGTTGACGTTTTCAGTTATCACAGTGTGATCCTGAAATGGGGAAGGACTGAACAGAGCCCTGAAAGATGAGAGTTCGGCTCTGGCTGTACCCTAGCTTGTGTGATCTGTGAGTAAATGACCTTTTCCTCCTTTACTTTCTTCAGTCTAAAGCAGAACTGAAATAACCTATTCTCTCCTCACCCCTAGGGACATTGCAAAGATTCAGAACATATTCTCATTAGTGCGCTTTGGTTTTCTGCAATAAGGAGGGTGTGTAGACAGAGCTTGGTATTGTTGCCACGAGTGCTGGGGTCTAATAGGAACGCTGGTTTTTGGTTGGTTGTTTTTTTAACTTGCATGGTGTTTTAATAGCAGAAGATTATGGTTTCTTCAAAATATGGTAAAACGAAGGGATTTTTACACAAAGTTTTTTACTAAAAATGACGATGTTAATGGCGTACTTTATTTGAAAGAAGCCTTATTTTTATTAGTAAAATACTTGATGTATGTTTTAATGTGTGTAGATTTAAAATACATTCTTTAACATTATTCTCCATAACTATTCAACCTCACTAGGTTTTCCTGTTTAGTTAGCAATGGTCTTTTCTTTATTAGGCTAAAAAAGAAACCCATCAAACCCTGACATGAGTCACATGATTTCCACATTTGACTCTGAATTAATTGGGTATGAGATGCAGCCTTCCCCCTCTCCACCCCGTGTGATACACTTCAGCTCTTCCCAGCAAGAGAGGTTCTGTTTTCTCTCTCTGAAAGAAATGCAGAGAGAAAGGAAATGCCTAGATGGTTTGGCTTCCACTAAGTAGAGAGGAGGATAGAGTCTTCAGGCATCCTCAGGAGGCCTTGAGTGCACAACAAGACAGGTGGCTTCAGCGCTTGCTTGTGGCCCTACTGTCCATACTGTTCAGAGGTCTTGGTGATGTGTCTTGCAGATGCTTTGTGTAGGTCTTTGAAAGAGAACTTGAACTGAGGATGGTGTGCTGTGATGAACACAGCCAGGGATGTGAGATTAGAAAATCTTGAGGCCGGGCACAGTGGCTGATGCCTGTAACCCCAGCATTTTGGGAGGCCTAGGCGGGCGGATCATGAGGTCAGGAAATCGAGAACACCCTGGCTAACACGGTGAAACCCCGTCTCTACTAAAAATACAAAAAATTAGCCGGGCATGGTGGCATGAGCTTGTAGTCTCAGCTACTCGGGAGGCTGAGGCAGGAGAATCACTTGAACCCGGGAGGCGGAGGTTGCAGTGAGCCGATTGCACCACTGCACTCCAGCCTAGGTGACAGAGCAAGACTCCCTCTCAAAAAAAAAAAAAGAAAAAGAAAAAGAAAAAAAGAAAGCAATCTTGAGTTGAAAATGCAGTGAGAAGATTGAAAGATAACAGAATGACAAGTGTATATAAATGGAGTTGAGTGAGTTGCTGAGTGTATTCGTTTGGCTAGTTTCTCTCTATAAATAAATATAGAAAAAATAAAAAATATAAATGTGTGTGTGTGTGTGTGTATATATATATATTTTATATATATATAAAATAAGGAAGACGAGATCTGTAGTTGGCAACCTGGAGACCCAGGAGAGCACATGGCATAAGTTTCAGTTCAGTACCGAAGACCTGAGAACCAGGAGAGTGGATGGTGTAAGTTCTAGTCCAGGTCCAAGTTCAAAGGCAGGAGAAGGCCAGTGTCCCAGCTTGAAAGACAGGCAAAGAGAGAATTCTTTCTTACTCAGCCATTTTTCTATTCAGGACCTCAGTGAATTGGATGAGGACCACCACATTGGAGAGGGCAATCCGTTATACTTAAGTCTGCTGATTCAAGTGTTAATCTCATCCAGAAACATGCTCATAGACACACCACATAATGTTTAACCAAATATCTGGGCACCCCAAGGCCCAGTCATGTTGACGTAAGACTAACCGTTACACTAGGCAAAGGCATTGAAAACACCTAGTTTCCCCTTAGTCCTGTCTTTTGAAGGCTAGGGGTGTTTTTGGTCCTCTATCTATGAGCTGTCTGTGGAGCAGTGACAGTGCTGTGGCTGCATGGCAGCCAGCTACATTTCCTGGATACTGCTGCTTGAAGTCTATGTGCATTTTTTGCCCTTGGCATAAATAATGATAGCATGCCCTTAAATGGAAACTGTTCAACCTATGATGAAAATATCTTGATTACTCATATGAATAGTGGCATGGAAGAACACAGCTAGTTAAAATTCACAGTAATTCAGAAACTCATTTAAGCCTATTCTCTTCTAAGAAGTAACAAAATTAATTGCTCTTTCTGTACATGCCCACTCAGAAGTTGGTGCTTCAAGAGATGCGAAATGACAGGCAGGTGATTTAGAGGGAGAAGGAGAACTGCCTTGGATAATATATGGACTGTTGTCTAACTTCGCCATTGGAATAGATTTGGGTGTCAGTTAAATGCTTTGCTTGGTGTTTCAAGTTTAATGAGACAGCTGTAGAATAAACTAAAATCATTTTCTAGAACATACTAAGCCTTTCCCATCTGACTACCTTGATACTTCAGTTTCTTTATCTGGAAACTGTCTTTTTGAATGGCTTATCTTTTTAATCTTGATTTAAAGTTTACTTCCTCAGATAGGCCTTCCCCAGCCATTCTTTTTTTTTTTAATCAAAAAATAACGTCTCCTGTCCTATTTTTAGGTTTCTAATGATTCCTACTTGAGTTGTTAGGCCTTCGCAGCCTCAGAAAGTATGTAGGTTTACAGTAAATTATACACTGTGTATAATTCATTTTTCAATATATTGTAGGTATATTTTAAGGTTTAGTTAAGAAGTATGTAGGGGTAGAAGATCTTATGTTTTTAGTGACATTTTATGATTTACTATTGGCATTGTATTTTCCTTCCATTTTTAATTTTTGATTTATATTATTTTAATTGTATTCTGTCAGATTGGCTGGAGCTATCCTGGACTTTAGTTTGAGGGATGACACTTTGGGGAGTAAAGATTGGGTTTACTTTGTACTCGAGTCTTCCACAATTTCCTTTGTAGGGCTAACCGTTGTCAGCAAGTATTTATGCAACTGTTGTCTTATGACTACATAGCATGTATTGGTCATAGAGTCTAAAAGCTTCTTAAACAAAGCATGGGATTTAAGAAAGAAGAATTAGCAGATTAAGCCTTAATAATATATAAATACTTTACAAGTGAAGGTAAGACTTAAAAAGATTTAATAGCATAAACTTTAATAATTCATGTATTAGAGGCATCAGGTTTAAAATAAACTGCTGTTCTTTCACTTATTTTGTCTTATTTCCGTCTTTAAATTAGAAATGAAAAGAACCTGTAGTTGTTTTGTTTTTACTGTGTCAAAAAAATGCTTAAAAGTCATGTTTCATGGTGGATTTTTAAAATTGTGGTAAAATATATATAACATGAAATTTACCATTTTAGCCATTTTTAAGTGTGCAGTTCAGTGGCATTAAGTACATTCACATGCTTGAGGAAAACACCACCATCATCCATTTTTCAGAACTTCATCATCCCACACTGAAACTCTGTACTCCTTAAACAGCAGCTCCCCATTCTCCCACCCCCCCTGCCCCCGGTAACCACTATTCTGTGAATTTGATGATATTTTAAAATTGTTGTCCACAGTGATTGTCCGAACCAATATATAGTAATGATATCTCTCTGTGTGTCTACAGGGATCACCTCCTTTAACGTGACTGTATCCTAACTAAATGCATAATTGCCTTGTATTGGGAAATGGTAGACACTTCTCGAGGACCTGAAACCATTCAATTTAGTCAGTGCTCCTAGCCATCACTAACCTTATGTGTTCACCCGGAGTCAGATCATTTCTCTCATTTAAGAAAACAATAATTCTAGAAAATGACTTTTAAGTGACAGGTGGTAAAATGGACTGTCTTGAGTATGTGCTTGATACTCCAAACTTTACCAGTCTGCACTGAGAAGGCAAAAAGAATCAGTAACTGTTATGTAATATTTTTAATACTTCCTAGCTTGTCAGTATAATGCCATTGTGAATGCTGTGCAACCATGCAAAATAAGTACATTGAAATGTAGGGATTCAGATGGCTTTTTAGTCATTTAATGAGCAATAGGAATTTTTGGAATTTCAAGGAAAGTGTTACCTTGCCAGAGGACTTGCTCTGTATTGCTAGGGAGTCTCACTGCTCAGGAGACTGAGGAACAGAGCAGGGCATGCAGCCTATCATTGCCGTGGCTGCTTAGAAGGAAGCAGCAGCAAGCAGGCATGAGAGGCAGCCTATTTCAGGGGTTGCAAAAGAAACACATGGTCCATGGCGCTTAGGGGAGGGAGCATTCACATCCCAGGCGGACACCAGGGGAAGCGCCTGAGGTTGGTGGTGGTTTCAGTAGGTGCTGAAGGCCACGAGCCATTTTAGCCGGTGCATATGGGGAAGGGAGACAATCATGACATGGGCATTCCTGATAAAGGAGGCCACCGGAGTTGAGGGTTAGTGGTAGGGAAAAAAAGAGCAGCTGTTCGAGTTTTGATCAGCTGGAGTGTGCGATTTAGTCCCTGGAAGAGAAAGGGGCTTGGGCCCGTGTGGAGCACTTTGATAGGCTAAGTGGAACCCTGATTTTGTGAAACTTAATAAACTGGTGCTTTAGAAAGGTGGGTCCAGGAATGGTGCCTAGCGTCAATCAGAGAAGATAAGTTATTTAAAAGGGAAAGTGGTTAAAGGCTGTTTTAATTCTCCAGGAGGAAGATGCTGAGGGTCTCTACATTATGTCCATTGTGATGAGGGTGGAAAGGAGGGCCAAATGGCAGAGATATTGTCCAGACAGAGGCTGGCTGAACAGCAGGGATAAAGGAGAGAGTGGCCATAAAGCCTAGTGGCTTGCAATGCATATAGTATAACATTCAAGGGCCAGGCACGGTGGCTTACACCTGTAATCCCAGCAGTTTGGGAGGCTGAGGCAGGTGGATCATTTGAGGTCAGGAGTTCAAGACCAGACTGGCTGACATGGTGAAACCCTGTCTCGACTAAAAATTCAAAAAAAATGCAGGATATGGTGGCCCACACCTGTAATCCCAGCATTTTGGGAGGCTGAGACAGGCAGATCACCTAAGGTCAGAAGTTTGAGACCAGCCTGACCAATATGAAGAAACCCCATCTCTACTAAAAATACAAAAATTAGCTGGGCATGTTGGCATGCGCCTGTAATCCCAGCTACTCAGGAGGCTGAGATAGGAGAATCACTTGAACCTGGGAGGTGGATGTTGCAGTGAGCTGAGATTGTGCCATTTCACTCCAGCCTGTGCAACAAAAGTGAAACTCCTGTCTCAAAAAAAAAAAAAAAAAAAAACAAATTAGCCAGGCGTCTTGGTGGGCATCTGTAGTCCTGGCTACTCGGGAGGCTGAGGCAGGAGAATTGCTTGAACCCAGGAGGTGGAAGCTGCAGTAAGCTGAGATTGCGCCACTGCACTCCAGCCTGGGCAACAGAGCGAGACTTTGTTTCAAAAAAAAAAAAAAAAAATCAGAAGGCATAAATACATACAGGATGAAAAATCAGCTTCTCTCCTGTCTCTGTCCTTCAGCTCTTACCTGGTCTTAGACATTTTCTTATATATGCATGTATATGCATAAACTACATTTATATCGCATTTCTAAAAGGTGTCAGGTACCATTCACACTATTCTTGTTTTTATCCTTTAACAGTATATCTCACAGATACCCTGTATCAAATGTATCAATACATGTAGAGGTGCCTTATTCTTAATTTACTTAGCCAGTCCCCAATCAATAAAAATTTGTTTCCTGTCTTCAGCTTTTACAAATTGTTTAGTGAATATAATATCCTCATTCAGGCATCATTTTGCACACATACAAACAGGTATATATGTAGGTTTAAATTATTGCTTGCCGAAATAAAGGATATATGCATTTAAAATGTTGATAGATATTGTCAAATTATCTTCTACAAAGGTTTTTACCAGCAATGCCTCTTTCTTAGACCCTTACTGATAGTGTTATCAAACAATTTGATCTTTCCCAAACTGCACATTAAAAATACTATCTAATTGTCATTTCAATTTGCATTTCTCTCATGAATGCTATTGAGCACCTTGTTACAGCTTTCAGAGGCATTTGTAATTCATTTCGGGGGATCGTTCTGTCATTAGCTCATTCTCATTTTGCTATTCAGAGGTTGGACTTATATGGAGTGCTGGTGATGGTTTCTCATAAATCACTATTCTGGAGTTTTGGTGGATATATTAAGGCAACAGTCTTCCTATTTTATTAAAAGTTTATTTGTCTTAAGAGGGAATTTTAACTTTGGTCCAATGTCTGGGGAGCTGATGGTATGCTGTTTCTCTTTCGATCGTAGGACAAGTTAGAGAAATAGATTTCCTATCTTGAATTATGGGGTGTGTGCCTGCAATCCACCACCTGCTCTGGCTGTCGTGCAGTGTTCTTCCATGGCTTCTGGGTTCTGTTTGTTAACATTTTATTTGAGATTTCTGCATATAGATCATAAATAGTGCTTATGTTTTATATGTTATTTATCACTGGAACTACTTTTCAGAGATCACCAGTCGCCTTCTGGTGATTACATTAACACTCCCTCACCTTGTTTACTGTCTTCCATCCCCTTCAACTCATCTGTGGCATTTCACACCCTGACTAGTGTTCTCATTTCACCTTCTTGAAATGTTCTCCCTCCTCTTCTGTGATGTGAAGAGCTGAGCTCTGTGGTCCTTGGTGGGTCTTCCTCCTCTCAGCGCTTCTGTCTTCTCCCCAGAGCCTCCCTCCGTGGCCTTTCGACTCCGGTGATCACTGGCATGGGCCTCTCTCAAGCATTGCTTAACATGTTCATCTGCATGGCCTGCCATCACCTGGAACTCAATGTGTCTGAAACAAACTCAGTCGTCACCCCCACCCCAAGTCAGCTTCTCACTCAACCTCTAACGTTTTGTTAAGGATCCTGGCTCCAGCATGTGTGGAGTGCCTTCCATGTGCCTGGCTCTAAGAAGCCAGGTAGCAAGGAGAAAAAGTGACAGCAAAGGGGGCAGGCAACAAATACAGATTTCAAGAGACTTGAAGCGAGAAAGAAAAGGCCACAGGTTGGAGAGGGAGAGGCTGACAGGAGCCTGATCTGTCTGAGGTGCAGAAGCAGTCAGGGTGAGAAGCATCGGATGCAGTGACGGAAGAGGCCAAAGGGAGCAGTGTCCAGGAGGCGACCGAGGGGAGCAATAAGCTGGAGGAGGAGTCCAGAGGGAGAAGGGGAGGAAGGCAGGATCTAGAGAGACTGATGGGGGAACACCAGCTGCCGGAGGATGAGGCCTGTGCTGAGAAGAGTGGGGTTTGGTTCTTGAGGAGAATAGACATTTTAAGTCCTCTGAACATTTTTCTTAATGTGTATTATACCTTTGTGAGCAAAATGCTGTTCTCAGCTACTTTTGAGAGACTCGTAAAGCGTGTAGGAGGACACGGAGGACCATGGGGGACTCATCTTTGCACATGGTGGGTGCTCGCAGTTATTCCTTGAATGTAAGGCTGCATCAGCAAGTGCATTCTCTCTTCAGGCAAGACTGCTTTTCAAATCTCTCCATTAGCAGTTCCATATCAGCAGCTTTAGGGCAGGTAGAGAAGGCGTTCATATCTCTTGAAATGTCAATCAAACCATTTAGGTCAAGTTTCAGTGTCTGTCTCAGTGATGTTATCTCTGTGGGTAGTAAGGGGCCATGAAGCCCAGCTAGCAGTCACCCTCAGCACTCCTGAGAGGCCTCGCGGCATTCCCTGGAATTCCTCAGTCTTGGGTGCTGCTTCTTTGCACGGGGCTTCTTCTCTCCAGTTGTTTGTCCCAATTGTTAAGAAAGTTCATACCTGTGGAGAATATGGTTCTTCACTTTGCTCTGTCCTTCCCACCCACGGTCTCATACACCTGCCTAGAACACTTCCTCTGTTTGCATCATAACATTTCACATGTGATAGCTGTTCCCTTCTTATGTCTCTTTCTCCAGGATAAAGGTAACCTTTTTCGCTCATCTTCTAAATACTTGATTTCCAGACACTTTAATTCATAGGCTTGCATTTAGTACACTCTAAATTGAACATTGGATTGATTGTTGTCAGTGGGGTCAACACTGACCCCTTGTTCCTAGATAGAATTATAATCTGACTGTCCATGTTTCCTTATAGTATCCTGTGGTGCTTATCATAAGGGCACTAAGTTTTTACTTTTTTTTGGAGACAGAGTCTCACTTTGTCACCCAGGCTGGAGTGCAGGGGTGTGATCTTGGCTCACCTCAGCCTTGACCTTCTGGGCTCAAGTGATCCTCCTGCCTCAGCCTCCCAAGTAGCTGGGACTACAGTTGCATGTCACCATGCCCGGCTAATTTTTGTGTTATTTGTAGAGAGGGGGTTTCTACATGTTGCCCAGACTGTTAACTCCTGGGCTGAAGTGATTTGCCTGCCTCGGTCTCCCAGACTGCTAGGATCATAGGTGTGAGCCACTGTGCCTGACCAATCTGTACTTCTATTCAGAATATAAAGTGTGTTTTACTACCCATGCTCTATCACTCTGTATGTAGAAATAAATTACGTATATGTGTATGAGTGTGTGTGTATTATATACATAATTATATTCAATGCGATTTATAAAATACATGTATGATATGGGTACCAAATACATTAATACCATATAATTATGTATATAGAACATGCATAATGTATACTTTATTATTATGTATGTAACACATATGTTGGCATGTGTGTATGTGTGTGAGAGAGAACAGTTTCTATATGTTAAATAATTTCCATGTTAATTTTGGTGCCACTGCAGAATCTTTCTGAGAGTGAGAAACTCCTCCCGGGGCATGTTCGCCTCTGAACCCGTAGTGCAGAAAGCCTGACCTCATCAGACCTAATACAGGAAGACTCGCTGCACTTGTGGCCCCAGGCCTGGCCGCCTGTGGAGCACAGAGCATGGCCATTGCCCCGTGGCTTGGCTCTGTTGAGGGCTGCCTGTTAGCTCCAGCTTTACTGGTAGCCTGGTTAGCTCTTTAGGTAAAGAGCCAGACAAGTTCAATTTGGTTTTGGTGTTGATTCTTTCCAAAGCAAAGCAAATTTCCCGGGTGTGATATAGTGTTCAGATTTGATTTTGCATGTTGAGCCCGAGGCATTCCTTTGCCTGACTTGGCTTCTCAGCTCTGTTTGTGGGGAACTGGGCTGTAGACATTTGCTGTGGACCTTGTGTCAGAGGTGGCAGTGGTGCTAGTGGGGAAGAGAGAAGAGAAATGGTGGAGTGGTCCGTGTTATCATCCTGTTCTAGTGCTCAGAACTGCTCACGGAGGTGTCCTCAGCCCATCCCACAGCCTGTTCCTTCCCGGCCGCACTGTTTCCTCTTTTTATCCTGATTCTCTTTTTGGCACTGAGAGTGGCCATTTTTCCATTGCCTGTTTCCTCTTGCTCTCCCGTGTCCCTGAAATTAGCCTGCCCCTGGCCTGGTGCGAGCCCAATGAGGGGACATTCGGGCTGCTGTTCCTTCATGCTTT
This sequence comes from Homo sapiens, assembly GCF_000001405.40. Classification (NCBI taxonomy): domain Eukaryota; kingdom Metazoa; phylum Chordata; class Mammalia; order Primates; family Hominidae; genus Homo; species Homo sapiens. The sequence goes on from NC_000006.12 coordinate 5,287,588, forward strand.
CTCCCACCTCATAGCCCTTCCCCGTCCCACAGAAAGAATCTTAGAGAGTTGGCCTACTTTCTGTCGATGCTGCTCCCTTGGAGGACCTCATAGAATGCCACAAATTCTGTATCAGAAATAGCTCTGTTTATTTGAATGGTTGGATGTCACCCTCTTCCAGAAAAACACTGTTAGTACACACGGGGAATTCCTTAAGATGCGGAGCTCTTCTTCAAATTACTCCAGCCCCATGTGGCTCCAGTTGTTTTTTTCAAGAGATGACTCATCTTTGTGGCCACACTTGGGAAATTTAAAGCTGTTCACTCTACTGAAGACAGAGGCTGGGGATGAGGAAAACAGTCACAGAGGCCTCTGATTATTATTAAGGTAGTGCAGGTATCTGTCATGTTCTCCTGTAATATTTTCTCTTTTCCTCTCCCTTCTGTCATCTTCCTTCCTCCCAGCTGCCTTGTTCCCAGAGCCCTCCTCATATTTATCCAGGGAGTGTCACTGCATCCAACATGTTTGTTCCCATGTTGCTCGTTGGCAACGTCACAGCCAGGACTGGGTGACAAAGATCTCCTCTGGGTCTTGCTTTCCCACTGTGCTGAGTCCAGTGATCATCTTTCATGTTTTGTCCAACCATCTGCCCTGAGATCTTGCTGTCTACTTCTTTTGATGTTTGTAGTCAATAGCTTGAAGTGACTTCTTCTTCTTCTTCTTTTTTAACCTCAGTAAATTATTACAAAGCAAATACCCTGACCATCCTAGTCAAAAAAGAACATTACATAAGCATTGAGCCTCTCCCAAACACCAATCCCTCCTGCTTTCCAAGAGGGAATCACTATCAGAACACTTGGGATCATCACTTCTTTCTGGAGCACCTCGTTTGATACCTCATTGTGAAGTCCAGGTTGTTCTTCTCACTTGTGCACTGTACGAATCACCAAATATACTTTCTAATGCTACTGAGTTTGATGAGAACTGTTCTAGAACACAGCCGTGATCTGTGGTTTTGAATATATGTGGTTGGATTCTCCCATTCATTCAACAAGTATATGTACGTGCTGGGCACTGTTGTAGGTGCTGGCAGTATATGGAGGTGCGGACTGGGGACAAAATCCCTGCTCTCATGCAGCTTCCATTCTTCTCATGGAGCTCAAGAAAATGCTCTTAAAAGACAGAGAATTAGAAAAAATACCTCTCCACTGGCTTTTTAAGACATAGGTGAGAGGAAACAGCTATTGTTCAGTCTTTGCCATCACTTCATTGATTCTGATTTTAAGCAACCCAGTTTTTGAGTCTGGTTTCTCCATCATGAAAATGTTGCAAATTTTAGGGCTGTTGTAAACATATATAGCTGTAGATCAAGTCATTTATTCTAGGTTGAATTTCTAAGATATTCAGCTCTCAACATTAGAATCATTAAGAATATTACTCCTACATTTACTACACTTTCTTCACAATCAGCATGCCCTTAGAGTGGGAGAATTTTGATGATTGATTTTAGCATTGATAACTGAAATATTTTTTAAAATGGAAGAAAATGTTAATAAAATATTTTGATGACACACTTAACATGTAACATGAATCAAATTCCAGATTTAAGCCAAAACTCAAGGGATTACATTTGAGTTTTAATGCTTAGAAGTTTGAGTACTCTATGCTTTCTACCAGTGCTCCAAAGACTGGAAATAATAGAATTGCTTGTTTATTTGCCAAATCAGGCACTGGTTTTGTTACTGGAGGAAGGTGTCCAGGTTCTTGGCGTTTTGAACAAAGAATTAGACAAAACGCACAAACAAAGCAATGAAAGAAAACCACAGATTTTGAAAGTACATGCCACAGAATGGAAAGGGGCATGAGCAAGTGGCTCAAGAGCCCAGTTACAGAATTTTCTGGGGTTTAAATACCCTCTAGAGGGTTCCCACTGGTTACTTGGTGTACACTCTGTGTAAATGAAGTAGTGGTCCACGACCAGTCTGATTGGTTGCGGAAAGGGACTAATGAGAGGCTGAAGTGAAGTTACAAAGTTACACTCCTATGCAAATGAAGACTTGGCCTGTGACCAGTCTGATTGGTTGCAGGAGGGGACTAATCAGAGGCTGAAGTGAAGTTACAAGGTTATACTCCAGTGCAAATGAAGACTTGGCCTGTGACCAGTCTGATTTGTTGCAGGAGGGGACCAATCAGAGATACTTTCAATTTTTCATCTGCCACATGGAGAAGAGCAGGGAGGAGTAGCCTCTGGTTCTTTTGTTACTTGGGCATGGAAAGTTGGGGTTTTCCTTTTGATTTAGTTGTAGGAAGTCAGTGTGAATTGGCCTTAGGTTCCCTGCCTCCAAACCCTATTCTCCTGCCTCAGTTTGAATTCTTGCACCAGAGAAAATCCAAAACAGAAGGAATTCCACTCTTTTGTGTTCATGGTTCTTTTCAAAAGCTAGTTAGAGAGTGTAAAATTTTCAATATTTATATTAAATAATGGTGTTTTAAAGTGTAAAATAGTTTTGGACAGAAATAAGAAATAGCTTGCTGTGTATTACATTTCCTGAAACTACAGGAAAGTTGATTTTTGGTATATTTTGATATCCATACCCTTCAACAAAAGTCTTAAGTCAATGACATTTTACCCCCATTTATCTGTTTTGTACCGACTACTATGGCAAGTGACTGTGTGTGTGAGGGAAACAGTAATGCTTGACAACTCATGCTTCCTGATACAGAGGTTTCTCTAGGTAGGTAGTTCACTTTTTGTACAAAGCTGGCAGGTTCTGTGGACAGAAACCATGGTATCTCACAGACTGCATTTAAGTTACCTCTGAGATTGCAAACTCCATGGCAGAAAAGATCACAGCAATTTGGGTATCTGTTTTAAATTGACAACTTAAAATGCACAATATGTTTATTTCTAAATTTTCAAAGTTAGAAAACAAGACAGCCTATATTAAATAATATAGGAATTTTTAAAGCAGAATGTGCTAAATGTAGAAAGTAGCTCAGTTTTTCTACTTGAAGGACAAAAATTCTAGGTTGACATACTCCTATTTTGATGACCTGTGATTGGTTGATGAGCTCAACCTTAGTTGGTAGTATTTCCCTTTTATCCCCCTGGGGGTGGCTTTAAATAATTCTAGAATGGCAGCACTGTGTTAATCTTTGGTTTGTTTGTTTTGAGACAGGTTCTCACTCTGTCCCCTAAGCTGGAGTGCAGTGGCACAATCATGGGTCACTGTAGCCTCCACCTCCTTCCAGCCTTCCACCTCCCACCTCAGCTTCTCCAGTAACTGGGATCACAGGCACACACCACCATGCCCAGCTACTTTTTAACTTTTTTGTAGAGACAGGGTTTCACTATGTTGCCCTGTCTGGTCTTGAACTCCTAGACTCAAGTGATCCTCCCACCTCAGCCTCCCAGAGTGCTGGGATTACAGGTGTGAGCCACCATGCCTAGCCTGTGCTAATCTTAGAAGGAAAATTTCTTTCCAAATGTCTTCTTGAAGCATATAGTGTATATAAGAATCTACCTGTATTTTTGTCATTTTCATACACTTCAGAAATAGTTGTAGAAACTTTATGGTGCGATGTGCATTTACCATGAAGAACAGGCTTTGTTAGCATTTACCTAATAAGTTCCTAGTCATTTTGATTAATTCAGTCTTGTTGACATGATCTCATATAAGATCTAACCACAAGAAGCTGGTGCTTAACCTCGATCCTCTCATTTATCATTGGGATTTTAGTAGGATGCTGATTTTGAATAAGTTGAACACCTTCTAAACTTTTTTCCAAAATCCAGTGCTGCTAAAAACAGTTCTCTGAAGGTGAGGTCCTGGAGAGTTAGGCGGGAGGTGGGTGAAGAGGCTTTAGAGGCCGATGGTGATCCCAACTTCCTAAACTATCCAATTTGGGGGAAAGAATCTTCTTTGATTTTTACAATTTTTAAGAAAATGAAGTCTGAGATCTTTCTTACAAAAAATAATTATTTAGTCTTTCTGGTACTGATAATTAGTGAGAGATTTATCAATCCTTTTTACCCTTAGAATTAAATATTGAATAGCTGAGTGTGTTGGCATATGCCTATAGTCTCAGCTACTAGAGAGGCTAAGACGGGAGTCCAGGAGTTTGAGGCTAAAGTGAGCTGTGATTGAGCCACTGCAAGCCAGTATGGACAACAGCAAGACCCATCTCTTAAAAAAAAAAAGAAAAAGAATTAAATATTGAATATATTTAATGAAGAATCAGGTTTCTTTATGAGTATTCATTTGTTAATTTTACAAAGATGTGCAAACTGTTGTATATACAAAGTCTAATAAGATATACTATTTTATTACTCCAAAGAGTGCATAGTCTGTAGGGGAGACTAATAAGTCAACAATTACAATAAAAATTGATAATATGGGTGATCATTGTTAGATAGGTAGACAGATACATGCTGTGAGGTCAGAAAGGAGGGTTGGTTACCTAACCCAGACAGATCGAGTCAGAGAAGGTTTTCTCGGAGTGGGGGTTGTCAGAATGAACAGGAGGTAAGCAGGTGAAGGGGCTGGGAGACCTTTCCTTGGCTGAGGGAGCTATGTTTGTATGACACATGTGTCTGTATGGCTGATGTTTCCAGGGAGGTAGTTGATGACAAGACATGAGATTGGTCAGGTATTCAGGAAATAAATTATGAAGGCAAAAGACTTTAGATTTTTCTGAAGAGTTTTAAGCAGAAAAGTGACCTTTAAGACTTCTGTTTTAGATCATTTTGACAGCAGCCTGGAGAGCAGGCCAGAGGCATGTGTGTGAATTGGTGGCAGAGAACTACGTTTGTGTTGTACTTCTGGTAATCTCAGTGAGAGATGATGAAGTCTTGAACTGTCAGCAATAGACAAAATGGAGAGATGGACAAATGCCAGAGTGATATGGGATTTGGAAGTAATCAGGCCTGGCCCCTGACTGGATATGAGGAATTGAAGAGAAGGAAGACTAAAGGATACCTCCCAGTTTTCTGGATTGGGTACTCAGGTGGTGGTTGATACCATTCACCCAGGTAGTAAATGCAGAAGGTGGTATTAGATTTGGTTGTGTTGAGTTTGAGGTACCTGAGGGACACCCAAGTGGAGAAGTCCTGCATAGACAGGTGCACCTGTAGCCTGGAGCTTTTAAGGGAGACTGGTGTTGGAAATACAAATATTTAAGAGACCTTGGTGTATAATTGGCAATTCAAGCCTATTATATTTGTAGGTAGATGAGACCAAAAAAGGATATGTAGTAGAGGGAGGAGAGGGCCAAAGATGGAACTCTGGGGTTATTCAGTGATAGGGATGATGGAAGATCCTTAAAGAAGATGAGTAGGAGCGTTCATGGAGGTGGGAAGGCCAGAAGAGAGGCCACAAAAACTGAGGGAAGGCACAGTTCTGAAGAGGGTGCAACCAATGTGCAACCAATGGCGGCCAATGCCGCACAGAATTCAAGTAAGAAAAGCACTGACAAGTGGCTACTGGATTGAGTAAATAGGAGGGTATTGGTGACACTGTTGGAAATAGCTCCAGTGCAGTGGTAGAGCAGAATCCAGAATTCACTGGGTTGAGAGGTGAGAGGTGAATGGATGAGGAATTGCGAACAAGAAGTGTTTAGTGTTTATGGCTCAGTGCCTTCTTGGGAAAGAAGGATACAAGGCCGTGAAAGAGGGGGTTGTAGCTATGAAGGGAGGTTTGTCAAGAGAGGGGATGCTTTTTGTTTTAGTAGGAGAAATTATGTGCTGAAATGAGTGAGCCATGAGGCTTTGGCCTAGGCAAGAAAGCTTCTGCTTGCATCCACATAGGATGTGAGCAGGAAAGATGGATGCTGATGCAATTAAGGTTGCATGCATGCTAGGAGGGGAGGAGGTGGGGATGGAGGGATTATTACTTGACCATTCTGTATATCTACATTATAAAAGATGGCATTTAAAACCACAACACTGGGCCATGTGATTTTTGTGGTGAAGAGACTAGCTTCACTACAAGAAATTTGGATGATTTATAAATCTCTAAACCCCAATGGGAGAAAAGTTATTATTTAATAATATCATAGATATTCACTTTTATTTAAAGAGTCTTGTTAGAAAACAAATTAGAAACTCCATGTACGATTTTTTTTGTTGTCGTTGTTCATCAATGAGAAGGTTTGTTTAAATTATATCCCTGTCATTGGCATTTTGGAACTTGAGGACAACAGAACTGTTACAACAGGAATTTTAGAGCCAATTTTGACCACAGTGAAGTGGCTGTGAAGGCTGAAGGCCAAGAGCATGATTGATTGGGTGATTAGAATTCTTTTTAAAGCAAATTAGAGGTGGCAGGTCTGCCACAGGTGAGAAGTACTGCAAAGAAATGAATCTCATTATCAGATAAAACTTCTTAGATCATCAAAAAAGAAGTTTAATGTTTAAACTTAAACACACACACACATACACACACAGCACGAATGACCTGCATGTGAATTCCTGTTTGTGATTATTATACAACCTAGCATCTAGCCTGATGTTCTGTATAGTTATAAATAATAAAGAGGTATGTTTTATAGTTAATTCAGGAACAGGTGCCCTATTTGTGAAATACATTTATCAGTTCAGTTTAGCCACTTATTGTATTTGGGGTCTTCTTGATGATTTAATTTGTGACTAGGCATTTGAGTTTCGGATCCTTGGTGTAAAAGGAGGTGGAGGGGAAGGAAGGAAGCCAGGACCAGTGTTTAGAAAGGGAAAAGAGGAGTAGAGGACAAAGAATGGAGAATGATGTGTATGTGGTGGTGTGTAGGGGAAACTCTCTAACTGCGTTTTTCCTCTACTCTTCACACTACAACAATCATCAACACAGAAGAAGGCTTCTGTGGCCAAATGTGTGGGTTTTTTCCCCATACACCAAGTGGCAGGCACCGGTTGGATGTCCTCTAATTCAGTTCTGACACTCTCTACCCAGAGATAGTGTCAGATCCCACAGGTTGAGGGCCCAGTCCCCATGACTGTCCCCCTCGCTCCCTGACAGTCACAAGTCCTGGCCTCTTGAACTTCTGACTGATGACTTCCTCTTTGGGTGTGGTTAATTTTCTGGAGAGGCTCACAGGACTCAGGGGAAAACTTATGATTACTGGTTTTTTATAAAGGATATTGCAAAGGATACAGACGGAGAGACGTGCAGGGCAAGGTATAGGGGAAGGGGTGTGGAGCTTCCATGCCCTCCCTGGGTGTTCCACCCTCCAGGGACCTTCGTGTGTTCAGCTATCAGGAAGCTCCCTGAACCCTTTCCCCTTGGGTTTTTACGGAAGCTTCATGACATCAGCATTCCTTCCCCCAAAGTATAGGGTGGGACTCTCTCATGGAAGGGTCTTAAGACCCACTATCAGAAAGCTGAGGGAACATACAGTCAAAGGAGGGCAGGAGGTCAGAGGCCTGCCCCTGAGGCCTAAAACACCCAACATGGCCTAACACACCCACAATAAGGGCTGTGGGAGTTATGAGCCAGGAACTGTGGGCAAAAACCAATATACCTCTTAACACCACAGATCGGGGGTGTGTCTCAGTCTTGGAGAGTGGCACGAGGCAGCAGTCTGTGGAGAGCTAGGATTTCTCAGGAACTAATACACGCTACACACCAAGCTATGTGCCGTCATATACGTTATATCCTCACAATAACCTAGCAAGGTGAGCAGTGAAATTATTTGAAGTTTCAAAGGAAGAAATGAAAGGAGGTGAAAACATATTTTTAAAAGATCTTTTAAAAGTAAAGAAAAATAGTGATGATGATTTGTGTTAGAGTTAGAAATTATTTCAATTGTAGCTCATGGTGTTATTCTAATTTTTTTTTTGAGTCTTAGGTGTTTGAGTCAAAAGGGCTAAAATTGGCTTTGAAGCTGGTAATCTGATGCTAGCTGAACTCTCCTTTTGTGTGTGCTTGGAAATTTAATAATAAAACGTTTTAAAAAGGATCAAGCAAATAAATAAAATAGTCTTGGTAATGATAAAAATGAGAGAATATTTATGAATAGCAAGGGGACTTTCTTCTCTCTTCTGTCAGATTTATAGGATAACCATAGTCTTTGAAACTATTTTTGAGCCAAAATTATTAACAAGCCATTTTGGAAATAAAGACAGTAGAATCGGTTGTTTTTAATGGGTTGTCTTAGCTTTATATAAGGTGAAGACTCAGTTCAGAAATAGGTGGCTTCTTCATCTTCATCCTGTTGCAGTGGGAGTTTTCTCTAAATGAAGGCGTGTTTATTTATGCTGGAAAGAAGCCCAGGGCTAGAAATGTTTTGTCGCAGAAGGTATATAGCTCCAAGGGGGAGAATCAGAGTCTAGGCAGTGAGCATCTTTTCACGTAAAACACTGTGGCAGGGACCGTGGGGAGCTACAAAGGTGGGAAGGTAAGATAGCAGTGATACCATGGAGGGCTTACTGTGTGCCAGGCGCATGCTAAACACTTCCCGTATGTTTAATCCTCACTGCAACTCTAGGAGGTAGGTACTATTCTTTCTCATTTTTTAATTTTTATTTTTAATTGCGGTGAAATGTACAAACATAAAAATTATCATTTTGGCCTTTTTTTTTTTTTTTTTTTTTTTTTTTTTTGAGACGAAGTCTAGCTCTGTCGCCTGGGCTGGAGTGCAGTGGTGGGATCTCAGCTCACTGCAAGCTCCGCCTCCCGGGTTCACACCATTCTCCTGCCTCAGCCTCCTGAGTAGCTGGGACTGCAGGTGCCCATCACCACGCCCAGCTAATTTTTTGTATTTTTAGTAGAGATGGGGTTTCACTGTGTTAGCCAGGATGGTCTCGATCTCCTGACCTCGTGATCCGCCCGCCTTGGCCTCCCAAAGTGCTGGGATTACAGGCGTGCGCCACTGTGCCTGGCCTATTTTGGCCATTTTTAAGCATACAGTTCGCTAGCATTAAGTACATTTATGGTCTCATGTAACCATCACCACTACCCATCTCTAGAACTTTATCATCTTCCCAGATTGAAACTTCGTACCCAGTAAACACGAACTCCCCATCCCCTCTCCCCCAAGCCTCTGGCAACCACCATTCTACTTTCTGTCTCTGAATTTAACCACTCTAGGAACTTCGTATGAGTGGAATCATACAGTATTTGTCCTTTTCATCTGATTTATTTCAGTGAGCATAACATTTTCATGGTTCATCCATGTCGTATCATGTGCCAGAATTTCCTTCCTTTTTAAGGCCGAGTAGTATTACATTGTCTGGATAGAGCACACTGTGTTTCTCCATTCATTCATCAGAGGACACTTGGGTTGCTTCTACCTTTCGGCTATTATGAATAAGACTGCTGTGATCATGAGTGTACAGATATCTTTTCAAGATCCTGCTTTTAGTTCTTCTGGGTACAGACCCAAACGTGGAATTGCTTGATCATATGATAATTCTATGTTTAATTTTTCAGGAACCTCCATACTGTTTTCCACAGTGGCTGTACCATTTTACATTCCCACCAGCAGAGCACAGGGGTTCCAATTTCTTCACATAGGAGATAGGTAATTATTTGTCCTTCACTGTTACAACAGCGGAGGAAGGGTAGCACAGAGAGGTTAGGTGAGCTCACATAGCTAACATGTGCAGACCTGAATCTGAATTTGACTCCAGAAGCTTACCTCCTGTGACATACAGGTAAGGTGAGGCACAGAGAGTCCAAGGGGCATGACTGAGGGCCCCTGCCTCATAGCATCAGTGATTCAGAGCCTGCCTTCAGAGTTCATGTTATGAAGGATTCGTAGAGTTCGCTCTTTTTAAATAAAAATTCTCTTTAAAAAAACTAATTTTGGCCTGGCGCAGTGGCTCACGCCTGTAATCCCAGCACTTTGGGGGGCCAAGGCGGGTGGATCACTTAAGGTCAGGAGTTCGAAACCAGCCTGGCCAACATGGTGAAACCTCATCTCTACTAAAAATAAGAAAATTAGCCGGCTGTGGTGGTGGGCACTTGTAATCCCAGCTACTCGGGAGGCTGAGGTAGGAGAATTGATTGAACCCAGGAGGCGGAGGTTGCAGTGAGCCAAGATCGTGCCATTGCACTCCAGCCCGGGCAACAAGGGTGAAACTCTGTCTCACAAGCAAAAAAATAAAAAAAAACCCAAAAGAACAGCAACAGCAACAACAACAACAACGAAACTAAGCTTTGCATATTTTATGACTTTTTCCTGCCTTTCCAAATTTATGCTTTCAAATGTTCTTGTTATTTAAAACATCGTCTTTAAAAAGTCTGTAGTATCTTTGATTTCCCTTTTATTTAAGATTTTTGGGTAAAATTTTGCCTTTAAATAATTTAAAGCAAATATGCGTTGGTTCCTGTGGAGTTTTTAAAAACATCTCCACTCTACCCATTCCCATCAGAAGTTTACTTTTAAATAAAACCAAGCAACAGTATCTAAAGCTGGATTTAGGTTAGGGGAAGCCCGGAGGGCATCGATGGTAAACACTGAGGACTTTGAACATTTAGATACAGTGAATGTTGCAGCTTTATCAACAGAGGAGCAACAGCTAAGAAACTTACACATTTCTCTGTATTACTTTTGTGAAGAGGATATGCATTTTCCCTCAGAGTCACAGTGGGGCTGCATGGCCTTGTGAAAATAGTGCTGCCCCTGGATGATGCTGGTCTGCTGGGCCTGTGTGTCACTTCATGTCACTCTCTGTCTCCACTGCTTCTTGTATTGTTGTCAGGGAGATGCCCCTTGAAAATACAGACTTAGTGGCTTCCTGGACCCTGCCTCATCGGGGTTGCATTTTATGGCTGGGAAGCCTGGTTGTACATGGTCCTCAGCCCCACTCCTGGGGTTGGGGGTGGGTGGCTTGTACAGTGCACCATCTTAGCTGGTGGTTTTAGACAAACACTTGCTTTAGACAAATGCTTCTTGTCCCAGCATATCAAGGGCCCATGATCTTGCAAAGAGGAACTCTGATTTGGAAGGTATCTTTAGACTAATCTCTAATTCGGTGGTTCCCAGCTATGGCAGTACACTGCAGTCCACCTGGGGAGCTTAGAAAAACAATGATGCTAGAGTCTCATGTCCAGAGATTCCAGTGTAACACATTTGATGTGGGCCTTGGTCAGTGGGATTTTTAAAAAGCTTCTGAGGTGATTCTAATGTGCCATCAAGATGTGGGACCACTACTGTAATTTCTTTTTAATACCTTGTTCTTTGGGCTTTAAATAAGATTTTTACTGTCAAAAAATACAAAAATACCAGGAGGTGGAGGTTGCAGTGAGCCGAGATCGTGCCACCGCACTGCAGCCTGGGCAACAGAGCAAAACTCCATCTCAAAAAAAAAAAAAAAAAAAAAGATACAAAAATGTCTTGTCTTTTCTTAGGGTGTCCTTATTAGCTGAGATTGCTGAAATTTATTCCTCACATATGAAGGGAATTTCTTCTATTTTGTTAATTTGTGGTGGAAGATCATTTTTATGTCTTTATAGAGTATGTTTTTATATTGAAATGATATAGTGTGGGTTGCTAAAATATAGATCTAGTTTATTCTGCAGAGCCTTGCGTTTTGGAAGATAAAGAGCAACTGTTTGCTTGCCTAGATTTCAGTACAAGCTTTAGCTCACTTTGGGTTTTGATGGCAGTTTCATTTTATAAACTGAAGACTATACTATGTAGACATCTGTGCTGATATTTCTGATAGTTCCTGAAGGTTTCTCATTTAGACTGTCATCTCCTCTGGCGAACATAGTTATAATGCTTCCTACACTCCTGTGTATTTAAACACTTACCCTTATTATTAAATTAGAAAATCTAGGTGTATCTTTGAACCATACAGTCAATCTGAGGGTTTTTTGGTTTCAAGGAATGCTTTGTCTGAGCCCCTTCTGGGCCCCTGGGATTTGTTTAAAATTACAGAGCTGTATCGGTATAATCTTTTCTTCTATAACAGCAATGGCTGTCTTGGACTGTGGCTTTAAGCTTATTCGGTTGAAAGTTCATCAAAGTTTGGAGATGACACTTGGGGTTCAGGGGAAACAAGTATTCTCTTGGCCTTGCTTTTGTTTAAAAGATGAGTTTAGATGTGCCATGTTGGTTTGCTGCACTCATCAACTCGTCATTTACATTGTGTATGTCTCCTAATGCTATCCCTCCCCCAGCCCCCCACCCTCCAAGAAGCCCTGTTGTGTGATGTTCCCCACCCTGTATCCAAGTGATCTCATTGTTCATTTCCCACCTATGAGTGAGAACATGCGGTGTTTGGTTTTCTGTCCTTGTGATAGTTTGCTGAGAATGATGGTTTCCAGCTAAAGGACATGAACTCATCCTTTTTGCTAGTTTTCCAGTTTACAGATTATAGGACTTCTCAGTCTCGATAGTCACATAAGCCAATTTCCATAATAAATTCCTTTATCTATTAAAAAAAGATTAGATATAAAATTTTAAATATTTGCCTTTTTTATTTATATATGAGAGCTCTGTCAGTAGTTGGAGCAGAAAGTTTAGATGTCAAATTTAAAAATGTTTTCATTTTTTGTTTTTTATTTACCTATGATTTTATTTATCTATGAGGACTCTGTGAGTAGTTAGAGAAAGGATGTAGGATCCCTGGTAGATTTCCTGCTGTGTATCTCTTAGAGCCCTCACTGAGGGCAGAAAATGATTGGATTACTCTGGTGGTTGAGGACAAGAACTTCTTACCTGCTCCAAAACCTTTTTTGATATAGGTAGAACAGAGACATATGTGTCTCTGTGTGTACATGTAAGTATATATAACATAAGCATGTCCAAATGTTATGTCTGTTTATAGTCATACACAGCTGCTGATTCAGAGTGACATAGTGGAAATTCTTCCTGACCTTTGACTTGGAAGGGACATCTGATGGTGATCCTTATTTTGTTTTTTTTCAAAGAGAAGCACATTTGGGTTTGATATGGCATTCACATTTAGATAATTTCATGACGGTTGTGGGGACTGGGAATGTAGCTCTCTTCTCACTTTTATGCAGATTTTTCCCCTTAGTTAATTACTGAGGTGACAGGTGTCTGTGTGGAGATGGTGGGTGGGGCAGGGGACACTGTTGGATGAGAGAGACAGATTGCTTAGATAACAGTCATGGGCATCTGGTCATTTCCTTTTTCTTTCTTTCTTTCTTTTTTTTTGAGACAGGGTCTTGCTCTGTTGCCTAGGCTGGAGTGCAGTGATGCCATCATAGCTTAGTGCAGCCTTCATCTCCCAGGCTCAAGCTACCCTTCTGCCTCAGCCTCCCAAGTTGCTGGGACTATAGTCATGTGCTACTTATACCTGGCTAATTTTTTTTATTTAAAAAATTTTTTTTTGTAGAGATGGGGTCTTGCCATGTTGTAAACATGGGGTCTTGCTGTGTTTTGTAGAGATGGGGTCTTGCCATGTTGCCCAGGCTGGTCTCAATCTGCCTGCCTTGGCTTCCCAAAGTGTTGGGATTACAGGCGTGAGTCACCATGCCCAGCCACATCTGGTTATTTCTGAAGTCCTAGAAAATGAAGGCTGTGCTTACTGGGGGTGGGAGGGAGTGTTTGGGGGGCTCTTGGATCAATTGGTATGATTTTTTTCTAGTCTGTAGTCTTTTATTTTTCTTCTCTATAATTATTATTCTCTGGTTGTTGACCTCCAGGGTCTGGTTAGTTACCTATGTCACTAAGAAAAAGGTCAAGGGTTATAGAAATGAGGCACTTACTTTTCTGATGCCTTAACTTAGTTTGCAACATCCTGGGAGTTTGAAATAAGATGGTAGCAAAGTTTGGGCATAGTGGCATGCACCTGTAGTCCCAGCTGCTTGGGAGCCTGAGGCAGGAGGATCCTTTGAGCCTAGGAGTTTGAGGCTGCAGTGAGCTGTGATCGTGCCACTGTACTGTAGCCTGGGTGATAGAATGAGACCCTGTCTCTAAAAGAACAAAGAAGATGGCAGCAAAGTAACGGCAAGTTCTCTTTCAAAGCCTAGCCCACTGTTTTGCAGAAGGTGTTCTGCCAGCCCCATTCTTATCTCCAACCCACCTACCCCATCTCCTGGATCAAAGCCAAAATCATTTCTAAGGGAAGCAATTGTGAAATCATTCCCTTCTATCAAGAGCAGTTTGCATTGTCTCCATGCAGAAAGTGTGCAGTTTAATATATTAGGGTGGGTTGCGGAGTGGCAACTAATATCAAACAATTTTTTTTTAAACTAACATTCTAGTTTTATTGAAAATGAGTCCAGCCTGCTGGGTGACAGAGTAAGATGCTATCTCACACACACATACACACACACACACACACACACACACACACACACACACACACACAAAGAAAATGGGGCTAAATTGGTGGACCCCACACAAGTAAGGGTTATGTCAGATGATTTTGGTGAACCATCCTTCATGTTGGGAATTCACTCAATAAAACAGATTAAGAAGACTTGGTCCCTACCCTCTTAAGAACTTACAAGGAGCTCCTTATGTTGTTGGTCATTTATCTTCTTAGCCATGCACTTTTCCAGTTACCAGTCATGCCCACCTACCCTCTTTGTCACTTACAGACTCCAGGTGACAGTCTTCCCACATATTGGAACACTTCTACTTCAGAACTTTCCTCTAGAGCTCTGCTCCCCTAAGTTTGGTCCTAGGAACAGCAGAATCTCAGGCGCCATCCAAACCTGTGTTGTTGTGTTGTTTAACAAGACCTCTAGGTGACTTCTGTCTGCAAAACATGTTAAGATTCAGATTTTATTTCAGTAGGGCTTGGTGGGGACTGAGATTCTAACAGGCTTCCAGGCAGTGCCCATGTCGGTCTGTGCACCACGTGGTAGATAGCAAGGCTTTGCTGTCCAGAGAGATTACATCTCCCTTGTGTCAGAGAGTCGCAAAGCTGCTTGGGTTATCGGATGACATGGGATGACATAGGCTAATCAAGTACCTCTGGCCTTGGGGAGTTGAAGTTAAAAAAAAATGTGCCTGGTTATTATGTGCTAGCACAGTTCTCAGAGCTTTACTTGCACACTGAATCCTCTCCTCAATCTTAGGAGGTGGACACTATTACTATCTTTTACAGATGGGGAGATGAGGCACAGAGAAGTTAAGTAGCTTGAGCAAAGTCACATGAACTAATGAGTGAAAGAGCAGGGCTGTGAACCAGGCAGTGTGGCTTCGGTACCAAGGTATGAAATTACTGTGCACTTCCTGACTGTGTGGGGGGCTATAACTGTTGGCAGGGAGAGTCGGCTCACGGTGCAGAAATGAGAGTGTTTTGGTTTGGGCAGTGGAGTGGTTCCAGAAGGCACGCTGAGTTCAGGACTGAGATCAGCATAAGGAGGGCTGAGCAACAGAGAGCGGGACTGTGTGGTTCATGTTCGATGGACAGGGTTAGTGGAGGAAGAAGACACACAGGGTGCCAGCTGCTGAGGAACGAGAGTAAATATAGCAAACTTTTATTAAGCATTCATAAGTGTCAGATACTGGGGTTTACATTTGTTGTTTCATTTGACCCTTATAATGATCCTGTGGTGCAGGTACAAATCTTTTAGAGAAGGAAACCGAAGTTCAAGAGAGTAATTCTCCCAAGATCATACAGGGAGAAGAGTAGCTTAACTTGAATTTTAAGTCAGTGCCGTCTGATTTCACAACCTGTATGTGAAGCTTCTTTGCCCTGCTGCTTCCCTGGCAGGGACTCAGTGGGGAAGTGAAGGTATAGAGGAGAGAAAAGAACTTGAGCATTGACACTAGGGTATAAAGAGGTGCCTGGACATAGAGATGAAGGGCAAGAATGCAAGAGCAGCACCTGGGACTGACTGGTTGAAGCTGGACTGGAGATCTCTGAGATTTTCCTGAGTGGGACTGGTGCCTGGACTGGCACAGGGCTGAAGCTGCACGTGGGGCTAAATGGCCCCAAGGTGAAGTCGGTTGCCATCTGCTGGTTGAGGCTTGTTAGGGCTGAGCGCACACCTTTACCTCCTGTGTCTTCATCCTTGTGTCAGCTCGGGAGAGCCGCTCCTGCCCTCCCTCTGAGCCTGCCCTCCCCACGACTCTGTTTCTTAGACAAATGTGTTTGCGGCCACGCTGGCTGCTCCCCAAGCCCCCTGCTTCTCTGAAAGTGAAAAGTTGCTTCTGCTTGCCTTCCTCCATCTTTGTGATTATTGCATTTCTTGCCACAGACATTTCTCATTGCTCCCAATGTGAAAATCTGGGCTTGTGACTTTAACCAAATGATTGTACAGCCCCATGTGACCTCAAATAAATTTTTTAAATGGATAACTAAGCTGACAGTATGTGAAGTGCGCCCGGGGAATTCTCTGCCTCGGGATGCTCGTAATGAGGGGAATTGACTGGGGTTAGCAGATGGACACTGCTCATTTTTTGGCAATCATTGACCAAGTACGCAACACCTCCAGGTGGCTCTCCGTGGACTGCTCTGTGTGGCTCAGCCCATGATGCCTGTGCGTCCGTAGAATGCTAATGGTCCCTCTTCCTCCCTGAGTAACATAGCAGGCTGCATGGTCTGGTGTGGCTCTGTATCCTTGAGATCAAAGCATGCATATCATTTTTAAATAAAAGATTATCTTTTAATTATAGAGGCATCATAGCAGTATTACAAAAAGCTTAGAAATAAAGAAGGGAAAGCACCCACATTTACCACCCTAAAACATGGTAATCAGTTTTTAAACAATTGTTCAGTGGCTTTTCATAGTTGTATCAGTTGTTTTGTATGTGCGTTTCCCCTTATCACTGTATAATCCCCATAGTTACCATTTGAATGGCTGTATCATATTCTGTTGTGATGCCACATCATTAATTATTTAACTCTGTTGTTGACATGTGCGTTACTTCCAACTTTTTACAGTTACTAATAACAGTTAAAGGTATACATTTGTACATGTAGCTATTTTCATATTTTGAATTAGTCTCTTATGATAGAGTCTCAGACATGGCATTACTGGGTCAAAGAGTATGAACATTTTTATGGCTTCTAAAACGTATTGGCAGATTGCTTTCCAGAAGAGTGGAGGCAATTCACAATGCCACCACAAAGGCATTCGTTTCCCAGATGGCCAACTTGGTTAGGGATGCAGCCTCTCACAGTACATGAGAAGCTGTGTTTATGTTTGTGTTTGTGTTTGTGTGTGTAAAAAACTTGTTGGCGCGTTTGTGTATTGATTTAAGCCCAGGGACACCATGCATTGCCTTTGTTAATAGGAATGTACTAGGTGTCTAAGGATAACATAATGGTCATCCATTAGTATTTAAAATAGATGTGTGCTTGATATGGATTAAAGCAAGGGTATAGGTGTTTCCTCTTTCCCTAGAATTCGGACTTTTAAAAAGATTGGCAAAGGTGAGTTGACAAGAGTGTTCAGCCAGTGTGACTAGGTTCTTAGTGGCTCCCTTCTTTTTGGGAATACCTAGTGATTTGGAGGCGAAGGTGGAAGTCAAAGGAGCTTGGTAGGAGCAGTAGTGGGAGGGCACTGGAAGTAGCTGGGCATGCGCTCAGAAGAGTGCCTATTGTGGACTGCACAAAGCACCTCACCTCACCTGGTGAGGACAGTCTTTTGGGTGCTGAATGGAGTGCTTGTGTGGAGAAGGATTTTGAGGTCACACCTAGGCTCAGTGGGAAAGATACTGTGATTAATTAGCAATTTGTTCTAGATCTTTGTCATTGCAGTTTTCTTCAATTTGTTATCCAGTTGGATTATAAACATTACATGCCTTCATGTAGGAACTGTACCTTTTAAAATTACAATTTTCTACCCATTTCCTAAAATGTCTAGCACATTGTATTGTATATGATGTACGTGTATGGTAGTTTTGTGTCTGCTGATTGAATGAATGAGGGAAAATACTACTTTATCCTCATAGTCCCAGGCATTTTATCAAAGCCTTGTGTTGAAGTAGTGGGATCCCACAGTTTGCCTGCCCACATGTGAAACCTCCAGCAGACCTCACAGGGATAAAGGAAAGGAAATTTCAACTGAGAAACTTAGGGAAAGTAATGCCAGCAGAGACCTTTGACTCATTTATATAACCACCCAAAACATTGAATGAGACCTCCTTGTTTTATAGAGGAATCAATTCAGACAAAGAAGAGCAAATAGCTTCCCCACGATCACACAGATGGTGGGTGACTGGGGACCCCAAGTTGGGTCCTGATTCCTGGTCCAGTGTCCTTTCCTCTACACCTTGTTGGGAGAACTTGGCGTACTTGTTTTGCTTGCCCCTCTCCCACTATAGCCCCTACAAGTGTGTATTTGGAGTTTTCTTTGCTGTCTGACCATGCTTGTCCTCCCATGTAACTGGATTAGGAATGAGTTTAGAGATTGTGGCCTTGAGGCAGTAGTCAGATGGGGGTATGAAGATTTATACTGAGTGCCAAGAGACAGTGCCGGATCAAAATTCAATTCTATTCAAACTTACAGCTTTGCCTTATCTCCAGTTTGGAATATAACCTTTTTTTCATTTTAAAGGGAGAACATATAATGGTAGATGTGGTACATGATTTGAGTGTGTATTTGATACAATTGTGATCCTAATAAAACTGCCATTCTGATCCATATGCCTAGGGTAGAGGTTTAAGGTTGTTAAGGGAGCATGAACTTTGAGCTTCTTGATTTATCTTGTGTGACTGAAATCTAAACGTCAGTATTGCATCAACTCCGGGGTTGTTTTTCCTCCTTTCTTTCCAGAACCCCTCACCCCCAATCTGATGAGCACATTTGGTTGTGTAGTTGAGATTCTGAAGCTAAATGCATTAATAGTGAGGGAAGTATTCACAGTGAATGTCGAATGAAATGACTGAGGAGACAAAGCAGGAAAGAGAATTAACAGTCTACTGGTTCTTTTAACAGCCATGTGATGGCTGCCCTGGGAATTGAATGATTTGTAGATGACTGGATCCTGCTCATTCCATGGTGGCTTGAGGCCCCTTGAAATTGATGTGAACCTCGTAAGCTGTCAGCAGTTACAGCTACTGGGTAATCAGGTTTGGAATTTATGAGTATTTACATTTCAGAGGGCCTTTACTATGTTTCTGGAATTTTGGATTAGAAATGCTTGTCCTTGATATAACAGTATTTTATGCACGCTGCTGGAGTGTTTAAGCCCCTTCACATTCCCAGTGTGTCCCAGTATGTAAGCCACTTTCTTTCTGGGAGAGCAAAAAGATGATATACTTAATCCTACTTTTGGATTAGTGGACAGGATGATTTTTCTCTGCTTCTCTACTAAACTAGCTCCATACTGTCTTCTGTACAGTAACAAGTCACATGGTAAAAAGAAGTTAGAAGAGTCTTACTGACCTGCTGTTGATAAATATTTTCCTACAGCATGCTGAGGTGGGCACATTTTGACTTTGCTTGGTTTTGAAAGGATTAACATTTTTTAACTGATAAATACGAATTTGTTCTGAAAAACTAAAAAAAAAATGGAGAAATTGAGAGAAAACTTATCTAAGACCCCTCCAACAGAATGCAAACCACTTAGGACATTTAATTTTTCTTTCATTCTTTTTTAATGCATAATTTTTATGTAGTTGTAATCTGTTTATGAAAATCTGGTATTTTAAAAATTATTACATATGTTTTTCTTTGTTATTATATATTTTTCCTACAGAAGCTTCATTTTCCATTGAGGGGCATTTGTTAAAATCTTTACTTGCTCTTTCCACATGTTGTCCAATGGCTCAGTCCTTTACTTATCAGTGGGGTGTGAGTGGGTAATGGCACTGTCCATCAGTAATTATGACTGATGAGTTGGCTGTCTCTTCACTCAGTGGAGGCCAGGCCTCTTCTTTCATTTGAGAGTCATTGATCTGAATGGCTCATATATTTTTCCAATTATAAATTATCCTCTAGTGGGCTTTTTGTGCATTAGTTCTTTGGGATATTTTTTCAGAGTAGAATTGCTGTCCATAAAAGGGACATTTTCATAAGGTCTATGAGGCATTTTGATATTTTACACACACGCGTGCACACACACATGCACAATTTCCGTCGTATCATATTGTATATACTGTTTTCTGCAAGTTGCCACTAGTAATCTCAAATGTACAAAACTAACCATATACTACACGTAACATTGGGTAGTATTGCTGTTTTAAGTTCGTTAACTTGATAGGCAGAAAATAGCATCAAGTTTTAAATTTCTTGACTTAGTAGTGAGCGTGAGCACTTCAGCACACATTGATTAGCTACTTGATTTCCTGTTTTATGAACTAATTCATCTTGGCCTTGAAGTTGTAGTGGTTAGAAAGGAGTGGCACCTGCCAGCATCTCGGTGGGGCACACGGGGCTAGGACACAAGCTGCCGTGCAGCCTCAGGGGTCAGCCTCAAGGCTCATGACCTGAGTTGGCGGAAAAGCACTTACTTACACTGCCCACATTGCTTTAGGAGGTCAGGATCTCTCAACACTAAAGTAAATGCTTGTTTTTGACCTTACTACTGCTTCAATTTGAATTGGCAACTATTTGCAATTTATATGGGGATTTTTTAAGGACAGTAGGGAAGGTGTGAGATTTTTATGTTTATCAAATAAAATGGGCCACGGATGTGAGAATTTTTTCACTTTTTAAAAATGGCTTGCTACAAAATTCTTCTTCCTCTCTTTTTTTTTGAGAGAATGCCACATGCAAAGGCCTCAAGGCAAAAAAGGGAGTGATGTGTCCCGGGAAGAACAATGAAGCCAGGGTGCCTGGATGTTTACAAGGAAGACCTAGGTGAAGTCACAGAAGCAGGAAGGAGCCCAGTGATGCAGACATTAGTAGGTCGGGGCAAATGCTGTGGCAAATCACCAAAGGGTTTGAGTTGCAGGCATGTGATTCACAGAAGCATCACCCTGGAAAGGCAAGAGAGGAAGCAGCAACTCCCGATGGATGCCTCCTGGGGAAGCCAAGGCAAGAGGTGATGGTACCCTGCATGCTTGTGCTTCCTAAACCATCTCTGGTAAAGGGCCATAAGTTTTTATTTCTAATCTGCTGTACACTGATACTGTTATAGAATATAAGAAACACGGATTACCGGAAGAATGACCATGAGCTTGAATGTGACAGCAATGTCAAATTGCTACAAAAGTTTCTGTGTACTTACTCTCGCCCTGTGTCCTTACCTTATCATGCGCTGGTATCAGGTGGACCCCACTTTGATAGCCTTGGCTGACAATGCAGCTCCAACGTCTAACAATGTGTTGCATATTTTCTGTGGATCAAGCCGTGGTATATGGCTATCAACTGTATTAGTTCATTTGGGCTGCTCTAACAAAATATCATAAACTGGGTGATTTATAAACAATGGAAATTTATTTCTCATAGACCTCAAGGCTGGGGAGTCCAAGATCAAAGGACATATTTGATGTCTGGTAGGGCTTTCTGGTTCATAGATGGCACCATCTCCCTGTATCATTATAGAAGAGGCAAGGGATCTCTCTCAGGCCTTTGTAATAAGGGCACTAATTCTATTCATAAGGGCTTTGCCCCCGTGATCTAACCACCTCCCACTGGCCCCATCTCCAAGTACTATCACCTTGGAGGTTAGAATTTCAATATATGAATTTTGGGGGCCCACAAACATTGAGTTTATAGCAACTATTTATACCAGACAATGTGCTGTGTACAAGATAAACAGTGGGATATGAAATAAAGGTTGTCTCTGCCTTTCAGATTTTATAGTCAGGTTGAATTGAGAGAGAAGTAGATGAATATGAGGCATATATTGCAGATAGACTCTCTAGGACTTAGTAATGGATTGGATGTGGGAGATTCAAGGAGAAGGAGGACTCAAGGTTAAGAGGCAGGGATGGGGTACTCTTTACAGAGGGGAGAGAGACACTTTCTTTAGACTTGGCAGGATTGTGTGAGATTCTTGTTAGTGTTGAACTTTTATCTTTTAGAGACATGATATTCTAATTTCATAAAAGCAAAATGATTAACATCCTGATGCAGATTTGAAATGAATTTCCCTGATGACATGGTGCCTCCAGGAAGAAATCTGGGTGGCTAAGGATAAAGGTGGGGGAGTTTGGAATTTCGTACTGTGCCTATATACCTAGTCAATAAAATGTGTTTTGAAATAGGATCTTATGACAGCCAAAATAATAAAATACCTGTGGATAAATCTGAAATAAGAAATGTGGAAGATATGTATGATGAAAACTTTAAAACACAAAGAGATTTGCTAGAAGAGTTAAATGGAAAAAGGAACAGGTTAGAAAGGAAGACAATATTGAAAGATATCAATTCTTATAAATTAATCCAATAATCAATGAAATCCTAATTCAAAGGGCAACAGAGTTTTGTTGCTCTTGTTGTGCAGAGGAATTTGGTACAGTGTTACAAAATTCATCTGGAAAAATCAAATTGTGAGAATAACTTGGAAAATACTCCAAAAGATAAGTAATGAGGGGCAACTTGACTTACTGGATGTTAGATACATTATGAAGCTATAATAATTTAAACATTAGAACTGAATAATTTAAGATCTTGCTACAGAAAAAGAAAAAGGCACACAGATGAATGGAACAAAATAATTGTTCAAAAATAAACCTGAAATGGACCTGAAATTAGATTATGATAATGATGGTTTTCAAATCACTAGGGAAAGTAGGTTTTCAAATCACTAGGGAAAGTAGATTTTCCAATAATTTTAAATGTTTAAGGAAACAAGAGTAAACAAAATGCAATATCTTTATTTCATTCTTTATACCCAAGAAAATTCCAGATAGATAAAAGATTTAAACATAAAAGCATAAAGTATAATTTCTATAAGAAAACATGAGTAGATTTATTAATAATTTTGGAGTGGTGAAGGCCTTTCTAAGCAAGGCAAAAACCTCAAAGGTCATAAACTAATAATTGTTAGATTTCCTTATATAAAATTTAGGTTTAAGGAAAAAAAAAACCTACAAAGGCAGTCAAAAGATCAGCCACAAACTGGCAATTATTTGTAATACATATGACCAAGAAAGAGTTGCCAGTAACAATCTTAATTAAAAAAAACTCATAGAAATAAGTAATGAAAAAGCTCCATCAGTCTAATACATTTTTTTGTGTGTGTGCGTGTGAATTGGTAGTTTAAGAAAAAAAATACAAATGCTAAAAACAAATGAAAATGTGCAGCTTCACTGATAATTAATGGGAAGGTATGTTAGTGAGACATCATTTTTGACCCGTTTGGCAAACAATCAAACAAAAAGTAATCTAAGCACTCATGAAGGTTTGGGCAAACAGAAACTCCCTACCAAAACGTAAGGTCCATAGGCAGAGGCCCTTTTTAACAAAAAATCTATTTCACTGCTATATCCTGAAAATAGAGAAATGTAAGGGGTCAGTGAACATGTGGTGAGTGAATGAATGCATGAAAATATTGTCCTTGGTAGAGTAAGTTGAGCAATCTCACTTGAGTGGAGTGCAGTTTAGCAATATCAAAATAAAATTCCTGTGCCCCTTTCTCCAGCAATCCCACCATTAAAAAGTTACTCTTCTTCTGTGCTTCCAAAGGTTTGCTAAAATACGTGGGCAAGGATGCTTATTTCAGCACTGGTTGTCACAGCAGAAACCTGGGAACAGTCAGAACACATCAATGAGGCACTGGTTAAATAAATCATGGTGCATCCAGGTGATGATATGGTTTGTAGTTGTTGCGAGTGAAGAGGATTTGTATGTGCTGTCAGAGAGGGAATTCCAGTGCATTTTGTTATTAAGTAAAAAGCAAGATGTAGTACATGACCCTGTTTGTGTTAAGAATCAAAAGGAGTATGTTTTACTGATAGATTAAATAGATGCTGCAGGGGTTCCCTCAACCCCTTCAAAAGGGATCACAGGAAACTTTTAGGAAAGGTCGCAAAAGCCACTGAGTTGGAGATACAGAAGGGGGTCCTATTTCAGTCACGTGTGTGTGTGTGTACATTTGGCATGTTTTATTATTCTCATTATTTTTAACTCAACAGTTATCTGAGTATGATGTTACAGAACTTTTCCCTCTTTTTACTTCTGTGTATTAAAACATGCATACACCTGCACGACCCTAATAAATGTTCCTTAGAAAAAAATTTCCATAAAATGTTCTTTATTTGTTGACTGTGGTATTGGCCTCAGATCAAATTATTTATCCTGTTTTCTTTAGATATATGAAGCCGTCTTAAGATTGAGAGTTTCTCAGTTTTTGACCTGGGTGTCTTATTTAGCTAAGACTAGGACCATGTGCTCTTTTTTTTGGCATGGAGGGTAAGTGAGAACGTAATGGTTTGTACTTGTTGGGAAGAAGCAGCTCATGTTTGGATCTAGCTGTCAAAAATGAGAGATAAAAAGCCACTCACAGATTCCTTTGTTCCACAACTGTAATGTATTTCTGATTCTCATTGATAATAATATATTAATTGTGGCCTCAAGTGAATTTGCCCATTGTAGGTTTGTCTGGGGGAGTGTAAGTTAGTTTAAATAACTTTCCGTGCATCGTAGAATCTTCGGTGTGTTGAAGGGTTTTATGTAATACAAACATTCATCCACA
Organism: Homo sapiens; assembly: GCF_000001405.40. Taxonomy (NCBI): domain Eukaryota; kingdom Metazoa; phylum Chordata; class Mammalia; order Primates; family Hominidae; genus Homo; species Homo sapiens. Next base: position 5,312,026 of record NC_000006.12, read on the forward strand.
AACCATATTTAGACACATAAAGCTCCTTGATTTCTAATGAACTTTTTACATGTGTAGAATGTCTGAAACTTACAAATAATCTAGGAACAAGCAAATAACTTGGGACCATCTTCTGAAAGTGATTCAGATTATGAATTAAGCTGCAGTCCTTTTGAATGTGTCTTTAACTCAAAAGGGTGGCAGTTTAATTCATAGCATTCATTTATCCTCAGAAATTGAAGTATAAAAATTTTAATAAGAATTTATTTTAGGCTTTGCTTACTATTAATCTATAAGTCTCATAGCTTATGTCTGTGTAGTATTTTTTGTGTTTCAGAAGGCCTTTTTTATACACTTTCACTTAAACTTCATAACAACCTTGAGAAGTAGACTGAATTTTCTTTATTATCTGAGGACTTATTGTTTGATATTTGAGGACAATATTGCCAGCTTAGAGAATACGTTAACAGTGGTCCTGAAGATTAGACTAAGATAGCAGAAAAAAGGAAATATCAAAACTTCAAAGATTTAACTCATCTCTAGCCACTGGGAATGTGCTTATGGAGGAGGGTTTTGAAAAGTAGGGGTTATTCCCAGTGTGTGTTAGAAAGTGCAGGGCTCTCTCTTCTTGCCTTCTGTTCTGGGCTCTTGTTCCCTAAAGAAATGCCTCTCAGATTTTCAAGACCACAGTGCTAAGTATCAATTATAAGGAGTCCAACCGGGACTCAAATAAGAATTTGAGTGCCCAGTATGTGCAAGCACTGTAGCAAGTGCTGGAGGCACAGTGTTGAATAGCAAAGACACAGCCCTTTTTTTTAGGCTTACATCTGGGGCTTCCTGTTGGTGACTTGTGGTGACGGTGGACACGTTCCTGCCCCCAAAGAATCTGGGGGATACTGTCAGGTCAATGGGCAGTCCCAATACCTTGTGTTCAGTGATATAATAGGGGATGTATGAATTGCTGGAGAGCACATAGCTATGGCATCAAATACAAATTTGAGGACTCTGGGGTGGGAGAGGGAGAAGGAGAGGGAGAGAGAGAAAAAGTGTGTGGTGGTACTGCAGAACAACCTAATCAGCAAAGTACAACCAACCAACACCCCCTAACACAGACTTCAGTGTTGTTTACACATATAGTGGTTCATTGAAAGATTAACAGATAATGGCTTATTAAAGGATCATCTGAATTTGTTGTTACAAAATCACCTGCCCCTTTTCATCAGGCTGGGATGTGCTACCACATTCTCTATGCAGATCTCAGGTTGTCTGTCTGCTGAGGGCTGTCCATACTCAGACTACCATCAGCTGGTTCTAGTTTCCCAGTGACTTCTGATTTACTGCTGGCTTTATAGTTTACTCTTAGCTCCTCTGTCGTACTTAATGCATAAAGGCTCATTGACGCAGGGCCGTTCCTTATCATTTTAGCTGATTCCCGGCTGTATTCCCTAATTACATATCACAGCTTTCACAACACAGATCTGCATTTATTGCCATCTAATAGATCTTTTCCTGATTGGTAACTTCATATGGATTTCTCCAGTAGGCAGTTTTTATTAGGGAATTTTTTTAGAACTCTACTGTAAATTGAGTTGAGCTATTTTGGGAAGGAGATTTGCATAAGACTTAACAGGGGAGAAGTGTTTGGAGGGAGGGAACAGCCTAGGTGGAGCCTTAGATGTAAGAAAGCATAAGAAAGTATTGAAAACAGGGAAATGATTTTTATATGTGGTGGAGAAGTGGTCATAGGTGAGCCTAGCTAGAGAGGTAAGTCATTGGTTTAGTGCTTCCTAAACTTTGCTGCACAATGGAGTCACCTGGGAATTTAGAGAAAATTAAATTTAAAATAAAATAAAATAAAATAAAATAAAATAAATAACCTCCCAATCCCTGGCTCCTCCCTACCTTCTGTGCCCCAGACATTGTGACCTAATTGGTATGTAGTGTGCTGGGGCATTGGGAATTAGAAAAGTTTCTCAGATTACAACGTATAGCAACATTTGGGCACCTCTGAGCCAGTTTATTAAGGGTCTTACGAATTATACTAAAGCATTTGGATTTTATTCAGAGAGGGATTTATGGCATCGAGGAACCACTGAAAGTCTTTAACCAGCAGTTCTGTAAATTAGAAAGATCATTCAGATTGCTTTGGTGAAAATGGATCGAGGAGTCTAAGACTGGAGGCAGTGAAACCAGTTGAGGGTCCCTGAAGGTTAAGGTGGGCTGATGGAGGAGGGAGTGGCAGTAGAGTTGGAAAGAGGCAGATGGATACCTGGGATATTGAAGAGGTGGGTTCAGCAGAACCGTTTATGGATGGTGTGGGTGTGATGGATGGGACAGGTGTGTGGGGGTGGAGGAGAGGGATGAGTTGAGCTTAGGTGGGTGGGAGCAGGGAGAAAGGGATGATCCTGGGAGATTGTTTCCTTGTTTCTGCAGGGGTCATTCTACCAGACCTGCTGAACCAAGGTGACCAAGTTACACTAGTTTCTCCTTTCAGGAGGTAGCTGAGAAAATCCGTCAGTTGTTTGCTGAGCACTTACCTTTTAGGATAAACTGCCTATGGTCTGTTTTCTTCCAGGCAGAGGTGATGTCTTGTTCCTCCTCAGTTTGAGTGGGTGTTTTTTTCTCTAATGATTAATCATCTTATAGCTCATTTGCATGAGACATCTGTGACCTTGATTAAGGGGAATTCTCCTCACACTTGTGACCCATGCAGGTCCTCGTCGATATGGGGTTACCACTGGCTCAGTGGCCTCCAGAGAACTTCAGATCTCTTGTGCAAAGAATGAGAGATAGTTGGGGAAATACAGATTTCATTACTCTTTCATGTAATTGAATTGGAAATGTATCTCACTTTTATCTGAAAAGTTTTTGGAGAAATGTGAGGCAAATTTTATGTAGCAATCGATGTTCTTTGAGAAAGAAGTATAACCTCTGTAACAAAAGTTCAGTTGTGTTCTCTCTTTAGGAAAATCCAGTATACAAAAATCTGAATTTACAAAGCACGCACATTCTGGGTAGAGGTAATTAGTGGTTGATGATTTTGGTAATGAATTCTTGGCTTTGTGAAAAGATGTCCTTTGAGAATCTTTTGTAAAGTAAGTTTTCTATGTTCTTTAAGTGACTTGGATTTTAGGAATAAATTTTTGGAATAAGTAACAGCCTATCTGGGTATTATAATGTATATAATCTACTATGTACTGTTATGCGAATCTTGGCCAAGGATTAGGAAGGGTTAAGACCCGTTTGCCCCACATAATGCTAAAATGTCAGAGAAAGGGAGTCTTCTTCCTTTATGTCTACACTGTCTAGCCTTTCCCCATTAACGTGGCTTTGGTATAAAGTTTTCCCATCTCCTTCCTTGCATGCAGCGCCTAAAGAACTCCACAGTGAAATCCAAACCCTGTGTGTGACATTTTGGTCTGTTGACATAAATGTAATTCTAAAGTCATAAACTGTAATGAAATTCACCACAGATTTACCTAGGTAAGCAAGTAAGTTTTGAAGCCAAAAATCACAGGAGTAAATGGGAAATTCATTTGATGGTGAGAAAAAGGAGCAAGGAGAAATGATCAAATCACAACCTAAAAACCAAACAAAATCCATCTACAATCTGAAAAACAGCAAGTTTTTCCCAAAACACCAAAATCTACTCTTGCCAACATATTATTTTGAAAATAATGTTTGTTTTATTTCTAAAGCGTATATTGATTTCTCTTTCTTTCTTTCTTTCTTTTTTCCTTTCTTTCTTTCTTTCTTTTTTTTGGGGAGAAGAAGGAATAGAGGACAGCAGAATACCTAACGCATTTGTGATGCGCTGCTTATAAATGCATGTTCAGAGGCAAATGACCATGATAAACTACCATCTAGGAAACTGCTTTATTTAAATGAAGTCATTTCCCTCCTGCTGCCTTACAGGGCATCAACAAATGAGTTGTGCGTGAGGAAGGGAGAAGCACGTAGTGCTGATGCTCACTGTGTCATCTTGCAGGGGCTTCGTTATGGAGAGGTATGCCGATGCTGATCCAGACAGCCTAACTGGCAGCCTGAACTGACTAATGGAGCCATCTGCATGTTGGCTGACATCTGGTTTTAGAAGTTATTTATAAAGAAAGGATCGTTGTAATCAAAACAGCCAGAGAGGTTTTAAATGTCAAATGTACTGGGAAAGATTCACTTAGGGTGACTGGCACTGTAGGAAGGATTAGCAGTTTCTCTAAATGCTTGTATGTGGGGAGTGCATTTCTCCTGTGTGTAAATAGTACTTTAAGACAGCATGTTATAACAAGGTATTTGAAACAAACATATGTTTTGGAAGTTGTGAACATTGTAAATGTGGAGGACTATAAAACTACCCGAATGACACATTAATAAGCCAAAATATTAATGAGACAACATGTAAAGAGCTTGAATGTCTGTACTCCTGTACAGTAAGGGAAAAGGCTGAGCAAAGTGAAAATCAATGACTCTTCCTAGACCCATGGAAGAACTGAGGTGACAGGGTAAACTGCTGCCCTGAGAAGTGGAGAGAGGATACCTGGAATGACAGGTGACCGGAAGCAGAAGTCCAAGAGCAGAATCCCACCCCAATCCCTATACTAGTGGGAACAGATAAGCTGTAATTGACGAATTGCTGGGGGCCCAGCATGCACTGGCTTTGAGAGTTAAAGACTGTGGGGCCCAGAGCCGCCACACTTTCATGAATTTTACTTCCAGGAGTCTCACCAGTGTCTCACAAAAATCCTACTTGTTTCTGGCAGAGGGAGGGGGAAAGTAACCATTTTGAAATATATCCACAACAGGCTTTTCTCTTTAACAAAAGCCTGCTCTCAAACTATTTACCAAAGCCCAGCAGACTTAGCTTTTATCAGAATCTAACTGACCCAAGGGATGGGAAATGCCCAGCTCTTGCCCCTTCTAGCCTTCCTGTCTCCATTAAGGGGGAAAAGTAAAGCTGAGACCCCCTTGTGAAGGGCACAGCCGGTACAGCCCAGTACCTAATCACACTCACCTCCTGTCACACTCACCTCCTCTCACACTCGCCTCCACATCAGTTAGGCTCTTGCATGGTAACAGGATTACAGTGAAAAGTAATGCAAGGGTTAAAGGAGACCAAACAAGAATACTGCAGGAAATTTTAGCCTCCGGCATCTACAGTTACAGCAAACAGTAAAAACAGCTAACTCCTACCCAGATAAACATAAAACCTCACACCAAAAGCCTGTTTACCTCAGTTCTTTCACATAATAGGTTCTGTCTAGTATTCGACAAAAAATCACAAGGCATGCTAAAAGGCAGAAAGCACAGTCTGAAGAGACAGGGCAGCCCACAGGCCCAGACTCAGGCAGTGGTTTTTGAATTATCAGAGCAGTAATTTAAAGTCACTAATATTAATATGCTAGGGGTGCTAATGGAAAAAGGGGAAGCACACAAGTGCTTCTGCAGCTCAGACTCTGAGTTCTTGGCTTTCCTGTAAACATAAATTAATACCAGGCCAGGCTGCGTGTGGTGGTTCATGCCTGTAATCCCAGCACTTTGGGAGGCCGGGGCAAGAGGATTGTCTGAGCCCAGGAGCTTGAGACCAGCCTGGGCAACATGGCAAAACCCCATCTCTACAAAAATACAAAAATTAGCTGGGCATGGTGATGCGGGCCTGAAGTTGCAGCTACTCGGAGGGCGGAGGCGGGAGAATCTCTTGAGCCCAGGAGGTTGAGGCATCGGTGAGCCATGATTATACCACTGTACTCCAGACTGTGCAATAAAGCAAAGACCCTATCTCAAAAAAAAAAAAGGAAAAATTAATACCAGCCAAACAAATTTTTCTCAGACAAGGTTTAGTAGGCTTGTGGCTTGAGGAGCAGTCACAAGGGAGCAGCATCCAGGAAACGGGTCCCTGTGCTCTTTCTCTGGAGGGCTTCACTCTTGTAATTTTCAGGAAGTTGAGGCGGGGAAAGGAGCAACATATAGGCAGGTAGAGGTGGGGAACTTTTCACACCGGTGCAGTTCATGAGCCACGTGTCTCATTAGCCTGTTAAATCTCCACCTTTGGGTCTGATTTTGAGTATTATAACAAGATAGGTTGGGCGCGGTGGCTCACTCCTGTAATCCCAGCACTTTGGGAGGCCAAGGCGGGAGGATCACGAGGTCAGGAGTTAGAGACCAGCCTGGCCAATATGGTGAAACCCCATCTCTACTAAAAATACAAAAATTAGCCTGGTGTGGTGGCCGGCACCTGTAGTTCCAGCTACTTGGTTGGCTGAGGCAAGAGAATCGCTTGAACCCGGGAGGTGGAGCTTGCAGTGAGCCAAGATTGCACCACTGCACTCCAGCCTGGGCGACAGAGTGAGACTCCGTCTCAAGAAAAAGCAAACAAGCAAAAAAAAACCAAAAAAAAAAAAAAAAAAAACCCTACAAGATAATGAGGAAAATCTTGGTGGAAGGTCAGTGCTGGAGTCCATCTTGTCTTTAGCTGGCTGGATCTGGTCAGGTTTTTATCAGGAGTGCCAGAGTCTCACTATGTTACCAGCTGAGGGTAGTTGTCCAGATTCTTGGCATCTTAAAAGAGTTGGACAAAAAGCACAAACAAAGCAAGGCAGCAAAAGCAGAGATTTATTTTAAACGAAAGTACGCTGCACAGAGTGGGAGTACTAAGCCAAGTGGCTTAGGCTCGGTTACAGAATTTTCTTGGGTTTAAATACTCTCTAGAGCTTTCCCCTTGGCTCACTCTATGCAAATGAAGTAGTGCCCCATGACCAGTCTGATTGGTTGTGGGAGGGGAAGAGTAGGTCCGCAACCAGTCTGATTGGTTGCAGGAGGGGACCAATCAGAGGTACTTTCATTTCCAACAGCCAGTCAGCAACTGCCATGCAGAAAAGGGCGTGGTTGAAAAGGAAGTAGCCCCTGATATCCAGTCAGCCTGCATCGGCCTTAGGTTCCCTGCTTCCCGACCCTATTCTCCTGTCTCAGCTTCAGCAACCTGGGAAGAAGTAACTCAAGGAGATGAATAGTTAGGTTCTTCCTTATGGTTGGGAATTCTGCTTGGTCAGCTATGTTAGGAGGGGTTGTGAGAGTAGATAGCTATCCAGACATGAGCAGGTGGAGAGGCCCCCTGTGCCCTCCCAGGAATGTCAGGTGACCATCAGGTGATAGTCAGGAAGTTGTTATACTGTCTCTCTAAAATAATAACTGGTCACTACCAGTGCCAGGGAAAGGCAGTCTCCCAATAGATAGAGGACACCTGAGCTGTTGAGGAGCAGCTTCCTGATGGGATCTCAGGAGTTGGGCAAGTGGGCTCCAGCATCCACGCTAAGAGGTAAAATGATGGAGTTTAACTGGTATATAGCCTTCCTCTAGGAACACTCGACTGGTAAGGGAAAAATGCCTCAAATGAGCACTTGCACAACGTCAGTAAACACACTATGCATGTGGCCCCTCCCAAGTGCCGGCAGGCCACTGCGTTTGCAGACAGCCCACTCCAAGGAAAAATTAAGGGAGGAGAAATGCCAACTTTGGACCATGCCAATGTATAAAACCCCAAGTCAAGGGTGAGACAGTGCTGATGGATCTCTCGAGTTGCCTACTTGACCCTCTTCCAAGTGTCCTTTACTTCCTTCTGTTCCTGCTCTGAAACTTAATAAACTCTCACTCCTGCTCTAAAAGTTGCCTTGGTCTCTCACTCTGCCTTATGCCCCTTGGTGGAATTCTTTCTTCTGAGGAGGAAAGAATCGAGTTGCTGGAGATCTCTATGGGTTAGTTGCTGGTAACGGGAAGCTTTCTGTTACCTGACTTGGATCAGCTTAAAGGGAGACAAGAAGGTAGGGGTGGGAAATTCCTAAGCAGGAAAGCATTCAAGATGTGGCCAGACTGCTTCTAACAACCTATACTTAGATGTGGGAACAAAGAAATGACTGAAAGTTGGGATTTATAATTAGAAGGGAAGCAGAGTGTAAAAGTTTGGAAGATTTGCACTCTGCCCTCTGCCCATGTGGGAAAGAAACAAAAAGCAAGTGCTTTCCAGAAGATGTTCTTTAGAACACACAATGCTTGGGATAATGCCACTTGATAAATAGATCCCAAGGTCAAGTTGGTGCAGGAAATGCAAATGTCCATCGTGACTCTAAAAAGGAGAAGAGTCCATGGGTTTCCAGAAGGTTTGGGCAACTTTTCACTTGAGCGTCTGGAGAAACTGTGCATACCTTGGGAAACACCTTTGCAGTGTTCCAGTGGCATGGATGCTCCCTGGCTCGTCTAACAGATGGATCTCCCTAACGATCTGCTGCTCTCCAGAGAGATCAACACAAGCTAGAAGCAGCTGGAGGGAGGGGCTGCAGAAGTATTAATGATGGGAGGCCAAAAACAGAGTAAGAGGAGCTGTCCAGTTGACTGAGATTCACCTCTGCTGACTGCCCATTCAGTTGTTCTGTGCTGGGGACCAAACCCTTCAGCTCTCCAAGTGCCAGCTTTCTGCTGTGGCTGAAAAGCACCTGCTTCTTTCTTTCCTCCTTTGCATTCTTTGGACCACTTAAGGTGGTACTGTGACTGGCATGAATTTTAACATCAACATTTATTTTCATAGCTGGAATATTGGTGGGAGAAAGTAGGAATTCTTGATAGGGAGAGAAGTTAGAAAATAATTGATGTATTTTGGTACCTCAAGCCTTGAGAAAATGATGCTTTCTAAGACTTTAGTTTTCAGTGTCAAAGGGAGTTTGTTAGTTCATTTAAGCTGCTGTAATGGCAGCAGCATAACATGAGTGGCTTTTGAACAACAGAAATTTGTTTCTCACAGTTCCAGAGGCTGAGAAGTCCAACACCAAAGCACCAGGAGATTAGGTGTCTGGTGAGGGCTCATTTCTCATAGATGGCACTTTCTACCTGTGCCCTCACGTGGTGGTTGTGGGGGCCAAGGTAACTCCCTGGGTCCTCTGTTATAAGAGCATTAATCTCATTCATGAGGGCTCTGCCATTTAGACCACAGCAGGAAGCTGGCTGAATTTTGCAAGAGAAAGTTACATAAGATTCATCTCTCAACTATATTGGAAATGTCAGGGTTACCAATGAGGGCAGGTCATTTAGAAAGGATCTGACCTTCTCTTAGACATCGAAGCAATAAAAAAAGTTATAGATTTCTCCAATTCCATAAAGGCTTTGTTCTTGGGTCACTTGTACAAAGTGATCATTGCCCCAGTTACTCTCCTGATGTCACTATGTACCTTCCAGGTGTTAATTTCAGTAAGTATTTGACTTGTGTTTTTCATGATGCTTAGACTTCTAAAATCCTATGGGTAAAAAGATCTTTACACATGATGGCAGATGGTGCATTGGGCTTGATGTGTTCTTGCACTGTTTGTAGACGTAGCCTTTAAGGTAGATCTAGAAGGATGGGTGGGGCTTCTGCATGAAGAGGGGAGGAAACAGTGTGAGCAGAGGATGGAGTGTCGCCTGTGGGATGTGTTGGGGGAAACCTGCCTGTGTTTATTTATCTTTCCCTCTTGTCATAATTTGAGTGTGGCCTCTGTGCCTTGTAGGAGACAAGGTTAGGACTGTGCAGGGGTGAAGAGGTAAGAGTGTTCAGACAGGGATATTTGCACTAAGCTTTGTTGTATCTACTTCATCCCCATTCGGTAGGTGTCTTCTATGTTTTAATTCATATCCTAGCGTCATTTTTCATCCATATAGAAATGTACCATATAAAGTGCTTAAAAGATTGTCTCTACAATCAAATCTGGTTAAATGTGGGAACCTCCAGATGCTACCTTTTCCTTCTTCATCCACTAAATCTGCCTTATATATTGATTGCTTTTAGGAAGTCAAGTAGCCGTTTCCCGGAATCTTTAGTAAAGATTAACTAGATACTTGATCACCTGCTTTCATATGGGTGTTATGACACACACAGAGTAGAGCTATTCACAATTTATGGTGTGGTGGGACATAAGTTATGTCTTACATTATTTTCAACCAGCTCTTGGTGCTAAAACCTTTTGTAGATGAGGCTGGTTTGAAGCAAGAATTGAAGGGAAGGTTCATTTATTCACCACATGCTACTGGTACCTGTTATATTTTAGGTATCGCTAGAGAATGAACAATAATGGTGACCAAAAACAAACACGTGTTTACAATGTGATGAGGCAGGCAAGCTTTCATCAAATAGTCACATAAATATAAATTTAACATGGGAAGCAACCTAAATGTCCAATAGGGAAATGATAAAATAAACTGTCATTTTGTTTTGACTTAATATTAGGTAGCCACTGAAATTGTTTCCAAGAATTGTAAAATGATTTTAATAACACTGGATAGTTAAAAAAGTTAGATTATAAAAGTACAGAGTATATCTCTCTTTTATAAAAACAAATTCATGTTTGCCAACGTATAGAAAAGTTGGTTATGAACCACAATGAAGAGTGTTTGTCCCTGGTGATATGATGAGGAAGCACTGAGCATGTTCTCATTGAGTAGTTTTTTTTTAACCAGAATGAAGGCAGATTGTTTCCATTGGCTGAATTTACAATTAAATGCATTGGATGCATTAAGTGAGGGACTGAAGCTTTAGCATGTATTCTTTTTCTTTTTTTGGTTTGTTTCCTTTTGGTTATAATAGGGTGGGAAGTAAGGTGAGGGTCCTGGAGGGCTCATCTTCTTGAGTGGGACCCTTGGTGTTCTGGTGACAGCCGTCACACAGAGGGACAGTGGGGCTTGCAGAGACGTGACCTTTGGGCGCTAATTCCCTTTTATTGCCTGCCTAAGCAGGATTCACTTTCCTCTGTATGGTGTTTATTTTGGTTTTGATTTTGTCTGCTGTTTTGAGACACAAAAACTTGTGTTCAGAGGGAAAGCTTCAGAAATGCTTCCCGTGATTATTAGAGTTTGATAAGTGAGTATTCCTGGACATCTGATTACCCTCTTTGTTATTGATCAATGCGTGGATTCTTCTGATTAGTTTCATCATTTCACAGCGATAGCTCCCATCTTCAGTCCTTACCAAAAACAATTGTTTTATTTGAAAGCTTTCTTTTGGAAGCAACTAATGCATTATTACTTTTATCAATTTAATAACAATTAAATCTGTGTTTTCAGGTTTTAATCATTTTTTTATTAAGCATCCATACATTTTGAGGGGAAAATTAATTATTTTGGAAGTACTCATCATATACTCATAGAAATAGATATTGGATATTATAGGGCATATAATTTATTTTTTAAAAGATGCAAAGATTCTAGATTTTTCTCTGATCTGTAAAATTTTCCCTCTCAAAAAAGTTTTTCTTTGTTTATGCTCCATAATTTATTTATTTTAAAGACCGACTGGGTCATTTAAAGTGAGAGAGCTTTGTTGGACGGAGGATAATAGTGCATAAACCTGTCTTTTATGACACCTTGGACTTAACCTTCTTTGTACAATAGAGACACTGAGGGTTGGCCTTAGGAAGCCTGGGTTGTTTTTGTATTATGACTCGAGAGATGCTGAAAAAACCTCCTACTGCTTTCCTTGTACCTCAGATTATACAATTAGAGACTTAGGCTTTTAAGTCTTGACTTTTGATTATGAGTTTCTGTTAAAATATGACAATTAGGATGTAAAGGAGCTGCCATCCAGAATCTTACCAAGATTTCTACCACCAACTGAGAGGACAGAATAGAATGACCCAGTGGCGGAAGGACTCATTCCTGCTGGGCCTGAGGGAAGAGCTGGAGGGAAGCTGGCTTCCTCAAGGACTTTCCAGAGCTGATCCTGGTTCTGTAGTTGACAGAGCAGGAGTATTACCATCTTGGACAAGCACTGTCATTTTAAAATTCACCTTGATCAGAAACCGCCTAAATCCAAAGGGTATCACCCTAATGGCTAAGGTCAGCATGACCATAAACCACAAATAACATCTTCAACCAGAAACGTTCCAAACTCCTCCCTGACCAGAGACAATTATAGCCCCAAGATAACCTCCCTCCAGCCGGGAAGATGCCAGCCCCCAAGATAACTTCCCCTCCTCCCAGAGACATTCCAACCCTGTCCTAAAACTTCTCCCTCACATGGAAACATGCCAAGCTTGTGATAAAGCCCCCTCACCCTAAAACCAGTATGTACTCTTAGTCTGTAAGAGAAAGCGCTCCTGACTGAAATCAGCCAGAAGCCCCTCTCAGGTTTTATCTAAAGTAAACCGGTCTTTAACTGTCAAGCTGCCATTCGTGTTTCTTTCCTCTTATTTTAACTCTTACAGTAGTGACAAACTCTATTGTGTGGGGCTGTAAAATTATTTAGAAGAGAGAGAATCATGCATATGCATTTCACCTGCTTGAAACTGGTTGGGAATTTACTTCTGGGATTTTTTTGTTTGTTTTGCTGTATCAATTAATTTATAATCTATTTCACCTTTCTCTTTCCTTACTTGCCAATTACTGGTCTTTTTAGGGATTGTGGTATTATTGTGGGAAAGAGACTATTTGCTTTTTTTTTTTTTTTTTTTTTTTAACCAAGACGTTGGTTACAATTCCATCCTACTATTCTGGGAAAATGTGGATCCCCCCACCTTTCAACCATCATCCCTTTATTTTCTCACTTATTGGTCTGCTTCTTGCAAGTTTTTGGAAAATGTCAGTGAAGAAACAGTTGAGCCCTTTTGTGAGGTAAATTTCCATTTACCAATGTATGAACAGTACACATACTCTAAGCATAAATATACAATAAACTGTGTTTGAAAAAACTCAGCTGTTTACTACCACAACTTGATGAAATGAACAATGGACTGAAGCCTTTCCGGGCTTGGCTGGCAGCCCCTGAGTCTCAGTCCCCTTCTAGGAAGAAGTGCCCCAAGGTCACTGTGTACTTCACACTGTGCAGGGAGAGAGAGTCACATGGCTGTCCACCAAGAACAGATCCCATCCCTCCTCTGTCTCATCCCTGCCTCCTGAGAGCATCATGTTGAGAGACATGCCATCCCTGCCGCAGGAAAGAGTTTTTAGCAAGCTCTGGCAAACACATCTGGTTCCTTGTACTTCTATGTACCTCATGGTGGCAGATTTTGAGAAATTTCACCATTTATCAAAAAAGGCTTTCAGTGTTTAAAACCTTCCTTTTTGGTTTTGTTCGGTCTTTTTAGTTAGGAGGGAATGGCTGAACATTGCTTGGCTACTCCACAGATGCACGGCAGAGCAGCTCCTTCTGGATCCCTCACCCCCTTGTAAGCTGGGAGCTCTGGTGGGTGCTTCTCAAATCTACTTTCTTTTCCTGAGTCAAAGGATAGAGGAACTGCTGACATCCTGTGAGCCAGAGCACCTGAAGGAAATCCATTTCCAGCTTGCATAGCATAGGTAAGGAAATTGCCAAAGCAATGCATCACTAATTTTGCTCCCTGGTGCTAAGTGCACCTAGCGGGCATGCTAAGTACTGCCCCCTCCTGCCATCCAGTGGCGGCAGGGACTGGCATGGTTCCCAGTGCTTTGCTGCCTGGGCTGCCTGTCTGTGCAGGGGCTGGTTTCAGCTGTGTGCAGCCTCCAAGCTTCAAGCACAAAGAATCACTTAGTTGCTGAAGAGCAGAAGCCACAAACACTTCTGGTAGTATATCGTAGGGCCCAGTAATCTTCCTACAGCTGAAGCAGCAGGCTCCTAAACAAGTCTCAGGTAGAATTACTTGCATCCATTATCAAGCTAGCCATGAAAAAATGGTGTACTTGTTTATGAACATGCTTCAATTTATCCTTTTTGATGAAAATTTTAAATGATTTTTTTCTATTATTAAGTTTCATAAGGAAGCATGAAAGAGAAATTACCAAATATTTGCAATATATATGATGGATAAATTGATAAGAAAACAACATGGTAGTAGTAAAATGTCAAGGATAGGCTGTTAACAAAAAGTAAGTACCAAAGTTGAATAAAAAAATTTTAAGCATCACTAATATTATAAATAAATATGAAAGCATACATTTTTAAGCATCAGATTGGCAGAGATGGAAAATCTCACAATATACCATGTCAGGAAGGAACTGGGAAAAGTACCTTCTCATATATTGTTAATGGGGGCATTTATAGGGACAATGTTTATGACAATGTTTGGCAATGTGTGATGACAGTTTAGAATATGCACACTCAATTTCTGACGTAAGAATTTCTTCTTAACTCATCCTAAGATAAATGGACAAACCCCAAAGGAGACTGGCCCAATATGGCTGAATGCAGCGTTATTTATTTCCTGTGCTGTCAGTGGAGAGCCTGCTTTGCCTCCTGTTCCCTCTGATGTGCAACTCACTGGATTTAGGGCTTATTCATAGCCCCAGAGCAAGCTCAAGGTACCTGGCTAGTGACTGAAAGGACATTTCTTCTGTTCTGAGTAGAACAGTCACAGATTCTAGTGCAGGGGCCCTGACACTTGGTGAGGAACATCCACTTTGTCTTTCCCTGAAGCAAATCATTAACGTCCAGCACACAGCAGTTGTGTCAGCTCTGCAGACAGAGGCTGGCCCATGTGGCTGCTGTCCCCAGGGCTTGGTGTGCCTGCTCCGAGATCCACCTACAGGTATTTAGCCAGGGCAGGTCTGGTCTCCCGCCCTGACTGGCACCAGCCAGGATTAGAGACTGAGTGGCCTGGGGCTCCCTCCTGTGTCACCTTCGTTAAAGCTTCGAGTTCCAGGAGCAGCAGCCTTCTCCTTCCACCCCCTTCAGGAACACCACTGGAGCCTGGTGGCCATCTGGGTGACCTGATGCCCTCAGAGCAGCAGGGTTTGCTCCGTCATCATGAATGGCATCTCCATGTGCCAGTGTCATCAGATGGTCATCACAGTGGGTTGTGGGGAGCATGAGGTAGTTGTGCTGTGGATTTTTTTTTCTAGAGGCAATATTTGGAATTAGAAACCTATTTACATACACTTAGCATTAATTTACATATAATCCTCAAATAACTTCAAATACTCTTCTATTCAACTAATTAGTGCAGCTAACCAGTGTTGTAGCCCACCTCAGCATTAAGGACATTAAACGTGTGAATCACTGAATAGATTTCTAAAACCATAATCATGGTAATGGTAAATCAGCTTAGGTCGCTCACCAATGGAGCTGGCAATAGCTGCTCCTTAGGCGTGATTCCTTATGCTGGAGTGATAGCTCAATTTACAAATTCCAGGGAAATTGTACCTTCATAACTTTTGGCTGAATCAGCCTTCCCCCTAACAAAAAAGGAAGGAAAAGAAATTAACATTTATTATCTTTCATTTTATAGGCCTGTGCTAATGCTAACAGTTATTATTCTACTTTAATTCTGCTATTCAATACAAAATCTACATTGTTTGTCAAATTGGTTTATGAAGAGTTGAAACATCTAGGAAAGGCTATACTATAGATTTTGGAGATTATGTGAAGCTTGCCTGATATGGTTGGGCTGTGTCCCCACCCAAATCTCATCCCTAATTGTAGCCCATAATCCCCACGTGTCATGGGAGGGACCTGGTGGGAGGTAATTGAATAATGAGGGCAGGTTTTTCCGTGCCGTTCTTGTGATGGTGAATATGTCTCATGAAATCTGATGGTTTTATAAAAGGAAAGTTCCCCTGCACACACTCTCTTGCCTGCCACCATGTAAGATATACCTTTGCTCCTCCTTTGCCTTCTGCCATGATCGTGAGGCCTCCCCAGACATGTGAAACTGTGATGCCATTAAACCTCTTTTTCTTTATAAATTACCCAATCTCGGGTATGTCTTTATTAGCACTGTGAGAACAGACTAATACATTGCCGTTAGGGTTTACAGTGTACCACTGGAGCTGAGTTTATCTTTCCTTCCTTTTCTCCTTGCTTACCCTTTATCCTGGAGTGAGTAGTCTACCACCTGCCTCACTTGAGAATAGATAGTACAGGAAAGGGGACAGCTTAACCCTCTCTGCCACTGACCCTGTGTTGACTTCCACTTGATGGGTTCCACTGGACGTTGATATTGTCCTGCACATTATTGAAATGACATGCTGACTACTGGTGTGTACAGATGACTTTCAATACCCTTTGGGGAAATTTTACCCCTTCATAGGTTTTTTGGAGAGTAGGAAGACCGGTTGTCAAACAGTAAAAGAGTACCTGCAATTCATGTCATTCTTTGCATTCACCTTAAAATACTGATCTTAATAGATTTTTGATAACTAAATGTATACCTTTTGTTTTTGTTGCTTTTAAGTCATTTATTCATTTAGAATCTACATGTTAGCTTTGGTTTATTTTTAAGGAATTAGGAAAATATTTTAATTTTAGCAAGAGAATGCTCAGTCTCCCTCCTTGTTTACCCTTACCCCCAAAGCACTATTGCCCCTGTTGGTTGAGAATGTTGGTCTAGGGAATAATTTTATATTCTTTATAATTTTACGGTTATGCTCTCCCATGAGTTTTAAGCATGAGTGATACAAAGTTAGGGGGTTTTGTTTGTTTTTTTGTTTTTAACACTAAGACCTTGAAATAGGCTCCTCATTAGCAGTGTCATGTCATGAAAGATGAACAGCTTGAGATTCAGAAGACGCAGGTTCTGGCTGAGCTCTGTGCCCCTGAGCTCCCATATGATGGGGGCCAATCTCTGCCTCTGTTTCCTAAGCTGATCCCTCTGGTCCATCATGTCTCCGACATCCACTAAGGCTACATCTTTTCATTGGTGTTACTGTATGGTTTGAAGGAGGACTGATGGCAGCGTATTTATGGTATCTCGGTGACTCCTACCTTAACCCTGTTGACTTTTAAGATTTCAAGGCAAATTGAGTTAGGAATCTCTTCCTAGCAAGAAGGCCTTGTAAGTAAGAGGTCCTTAAAAATAAAAGAAAAAAACCTAACATGTAGACTTTTTCTCTGCAGCCCCATGTCCTGGAACCTTCTGCTTTTAACCTGTTAATAATGGAGTTATTTCGTATTGCAGTTTGCCCAGTTTTGTGCCAAAGAGCTCGTTTTTCATACTCCTTCCCCAGACATGACCTTGTAAATCTTTGCCGGAGGTAAAGGATTAGCGTGGCTGAGCAGTTCGAGGGAGTGAAGTGTCTTATCTCTATAACTTTCCAAAGTGGTCCTCTTCTGTGTGGTGGGTAGGTTCTGTGGTATTAGAGTGCTGTGTTTCAGTGATAGTGTAGCCTGCTCGATCTCTAAAGTCTCTGCTTAGTGTTGTTTCTATATTAAAAAAAAAAAAGAAACTGTGGCTACCAACCAACTTATAAACAAGTTGATTGGAGGCAATCCTTATTTACTGTGAGGTAAGCCATGTAATAAAATATTTTAAAGCTAATGTAGCATATCAATTTATAAAACAAGCCATGTGCTTTATCTTATTCAGTTTCTCCCAATGTCAGAGTGATGGTTCACAATTGTGAATGGTGATTGAGATCTGGAATGAATTCACCAGTATTTTTCAATTGTCTTTTTGTTGCCGTGGCATGGTTGATGTGCTTTCAACCTGTTTTTTTGTTTTGTTTTGTTTTTAATAAAACTTGTGACAACAAATGTATGAGTTTTTAAATTTTTTTTATGTCAACCAATCATCCAAGTCTCTGGGCACCAACTGAGTGTTCTACAATTCAGTTCAGACACTGTCTGGGGTTAGCCCAGACCCCACAGGCTAAAAACTGTCTCAAGATTACCCGCAGTAGAATCTCCAGTTAAATCCCATGTTATCACCTGCAGTTTTGACCAACCAGCTATAAATTGGGGGTCCCCTTGGTCACTTGCTAGAAGGTTTCCCAGAACTCAGGAAAGCATCGTACTTACTATTAACAGTTTATTATAAAGGATACAACCCAGGAGGAGATACACAGGGTGAAGTGCTCTGGGTGTGATGCCTCCATGCTGTCTCCTGGCACACTGCTCTCCCAGCACTTTGATGTGTTCACCAGCCAAGATGTTTTCTCAACTCTGTGGTTCAGGAGTTTTGATCGAGCTTTAATTACATCGACATGATAGATTACATCATTGGCTATTGGTCATTGCCTTAATTAATCTCCAGCTCCTTTCCCCTTTCTGTTCATGAGGCCCTCAGTTCTTGCTGTGATATTTCTGGAGACCCTTGTCCATCCTGAAGCTGTCTCATGGGTCACCAAGAGTGGCCTCATGAGAACAAAATATACTCCTAGCTTCCTAGAAATTCTACGGGATTTAGGAGTTCTCAATCAGGAACAGGGGACAAACATCAAATTTTAGAACACAGGCTGCTCCTATTATCCCTATCAATCAAGATACCACAGAAATTTTAGGAGCCCCTTGATGGGAACCTGGGACAGTCAGCAAATATATATATATAGATATTATTATATCAGAGTGTAGTATAGTGTTGTCTTCTAAGTCTTATCCATCCTCACTTTTTTCTTTTGTGATTTCCCTTTCTTTGAACATCTCTGAGACCTACTTCGCCATGTAGGTGTAGCGTATGCTGCTTCTGTGCTGGTGACATCATTTGGCTCAGTGTTATGTATCCCAAGAGGAAGCTGTGTTTCTTATGCTGGCTCCACGGGTACCCCAGGAACATTGAGGATACTGTGTGGGGTGTTGCCTCCTACATGGTATGATATAGGCTAGGAGAATAACTGTAGCGCATCTTCATGGAGTTTTAACCTCACTCAGCTTTGGAGGAAATTAAAATGAATGCAGGAATATTATGGAGTAGCAAATGATTCACAAACAGGTGGCATCAGTGAAATTTTATGTTCATTAACAGATACCTTTGGATTATGCATGTTTCCCCAGAGATATATTCGTTCACTCTTCTCTAATGGGGTAGTTAAAGTTGAGGAGTCAGAATATGTATGTATTTGAGTATGTAGTTTGTAAATTCTACAGGAGTAAATATTACTGTAGTAGACATTAATTCAATAATTTTTGGCTGGGTGGGGTGGGTCACGCCTGTAATCCTAGCACTTTGGGAGGCCAAGGCAGGACGATTGCTTGAACTCAGGAGTTCTAGTGCAGCCTGGGCAACATGGTAAAACCCCATCTCCAAAAAAATCCCCAAAATTAGCCAGGTGCGGTGGTATGGTCTGTAGTCCGAGCTACTTGCGGGGCTGAAGCCGGAGAATTGTTTGAGCCCAGGAGGTCAAGGGTGCAGTGAGCTGAGATTGCACCTCTGCATTCCAGCCTGGGTGACAGAGTGAAACTCCGTTTAAAAAAAAAAAAAAAAAAAGATTGATGGTCTTATTCTACATATTTTTTTGAGTCTATTTCTATGATATTTTCAGTATTTTACTTAGATGGGCTTTAACAGATTTAATTTTCTCTTTTATTTTGCTTGGCTGTCTTAATCATGGCCTTTTTCATTTTAATGTTACCTCATTCAAAGAGTTTTTGCCTGACTAATGAGTTGTAGTTTTAAAGTGCTATGTGTTTAGATCTTCATAATGAGAGATTAACCGGAGCCGTGGATCACATCTCTGGGAGCATTCACATGTCCCATGTCCAGCCTGCCAAGTTATACCCCTTGGGATTCCCTGGCCACAGGGAGGGATTTGAATCACAGTGTTCTGGTGGCTGGGATTTTCTCCTATCTGATCACATAAGTTAACTTACCTGGTGTCTTGTTCACATTTGTCTCTAGTTCCCCTGGTGCTATTATTGCCAATAGTGCAATAACAAAGGTTTGATATGAAGATGGACATGTGTAAGGGAGAGCTGGGGATTAGCCAGCCCAGTTTCACCTCAGCTGGTATTGTTACTGGGTCAGAGTGGGGTTGAGTCTGAAAGGCAGAGCGAGGTCAACACTGACAGAATGGGACTAAAAACAATGTGTGGGAAATAATTCAGCATTATCAAAGTGAATTTCAGAGAGCATCAGCTGCTGCTTGGGGCCTGGGGTCACACCTCTATAGTCGCTGGTCTTGGAGAGAGGGTTTTACCCCTGAACCTACTGCCCTACTCTGAACCTATTGCCCGACATTGCTGAGATCATTTATGATTTCCAAGAGAACTTGAGTGAGGATATGTGCATGGTTTAGTGAATTGGCTCCCATTTCCTGAGCCCTAATATGCCATGGCACAGCTGCTCTAGTAGTCACGGTAAATATGTTATTTCATTGAGTTTTCACAGAAAGTCAATGAAATAGATATTCCTGATCCCCTTTAGTTTCAGACAGGAAACTAAATCCCTGAGAGGTCACATGATTTGCCCAAGCCTCAGGTTAAATTTGGGAAGTACCAGCGCTGAGATTCAGACCCAGGACTGTGTAACTTTAGAGACATGCTCTCATCTTGCTCCAGTGATAGACACTGAGCACCCAGTGTGCAGCAAGCAGTGGGTTGTATGCTGGAAATATAAAGAAGAATGAAGCCACGCACTTTGCAGGGGCATAGCACATCATCTTCAGCGGAATGCTAAGGAGGTTCCAAAATGACTTAATTGAAAGCACTGCATAAATGCATGACATTAGGCTGGCAATAGTTTCCTGCCAATATATGAAGTGCTAAGAATCAATAGAAAGAAGTATATGGTTATAAAAAAGAAATGAGCAGAGCCATAGAAAGGCTAATGGAAAGCATGGAATGTTAAGAAGCTGGCAGATTTATTTATGTGAGTTTGGAAGATGTTACTCTAGCAGTTTTTGGCTGATTTTGGTGATTGATATTATACCTAAAGTAGCTGAGTTACTCCGATTAACATCACTTGTTTTATTTAAAATCACGCTAACTCAGAGAACCTTACTGTTAATACACCTGAAGGTATACACCTATTTATGTTGGATGTAAGATGTTACAGAGTCAGAGGAAACAAATAAAACAAGGGCAATGTTATGTGGTTTCAACACCAGTCATCTGTATATTGCACATGATATTGTGCCCAGGGGGTTAGTGATGATATGTGCAGGACACATAGGGCAAACGCTTTCATGGGAGGGTCATTAGAATCAAGACAAGGATGAACCGCATTAAAAGGGTAATGGCTCAGTATTAAGGAGTAGAGAAGAGTGGATACTGAACATTGGTTTTTATTGAGCAAAATGAGTTATTCTTAGTTGACCCAGCTCTTAGGTTTATAGACCAAATCAAGAATGTTATACTAATATTGATTTTCTTATATGATCTTTTGAATTTAATCCATAATATTTTGTCTTGGCATTGGTAACCTCTAAAGTGTACCATTCTGCTTTCTGAATCGCCTTGACATTTTTCATCACCAAATACTTTTTTACTGTTTTAATGGAGTTATGGCAGTGAAATTAGAAAACTAAAAGATTTTGGGAACAGTCAATAATTAAGCAATACTGTTTATTTTGGTCTTACTTGAAATAGATGGACAGGGAGGAGAAAGAGACTTGTGTCTCTTATGGCCCTCTAGCTTCATACCTATCCCATTTCATCTGAGTAGCCTTGATGACCATTTTGCAGATAAGGACATCGTGATTTTTTAAGAGGTTGAATGAATTTGCTAGTCAAGATGCAGTCAGAATTTGAGCCCAGGACTGTTTCTTTCAAAACTCCTTTATTTTGCTGGAGTGTGCTGCTTCTTCCAGTTTGAAATGACTGAACTGTAATGACCAGCTAGATTATAAAACATGAAGTGGGAAAGTTGTGGTTATTTTCTGACTTACTTATTTTGAGCAATGCTATCATATTAAGTAGATATTTTAGATAGTATGGACATGTCTGAGGAACCTCCTACCTTGCCGGACACTGAGGATTTATTCACCTTGAGCAGAGGCAGGCAGGTGTCTTTCTGAATTGGTGGTGGCTGAGTATAATTGAGTTTCCTACACTTTAAAAACTGTACTCCGGCCACTGTTTTGATTCTCTTGTTTGACTGGCCTGTTTGTATTTTGGGCAGTCGCTAGCCAGGTGTTAGACCTATAATTTACCATGTAATTCTCTATTGACTTGAGCTCTGCCGTTGTGCACTTTGTACATCATCTACCATCTACTGCATCATCCCTGTTTGCTTCAGGCTCTCCCAGTGTGACTCATCATTAAATATCCAGTTGGAACCTCAACCTCTTCCAGGAATGCCTCCTCTGGCATCCTCTACATGTGCTGTTCTTCCTCCTAAACCTCCAAGGGACTTGATGCCTGTCCTCTTGTTAATCATATGCTCTTTTGGAAATGTATTTATGTTTCCCTATGAATATGGTGGCCCTCTGGCTTCATACATTTAAAATGTTTGTGGTCAGGGATGATGATGATTTAAACAACAGTATTTTGGAAAGTAGGACTTTTTTTAAAAGTCCTCTCGCATTATCACTTAGTGTACAGCAACTATTGTAGTAAAACTACTTGGCAGTGTAGCGGTAAAATAGTTTAATCACAGTGGTACAAAGGGTGCAGGGAGTATGGCACTCGTACATTGTTGATGGGAGTCCTAACTGGCGCACTCCCTCTTAGGAGATCCATTTGGCCCTATCTGTTAAAATGTAAAACGCACA
Organism: Homo sapiens; assembly: GCF_000001405.40. Classification (NCBI taxonomy): domain Eukaryota; kingdom Metazoa; phylum Chordata; class Mammalia; order Primates; family Hominidae; genus Homo; species Homo sapiens. The sequence goes on from NC_000006.12 coordinate 5,334,346, forward strand.
AACCATTTGACTAGCAATTCAGCTTTCAGAAATTTATTCTAAAAATGCTTGCTTCTGTATGAAAAGACATAAGTATTTCCTTTATAGAGTTACTGATTTTAGCAAAATATTGGAAACAAATGTTCATCAGTAAGGAAACAGCTAAGTAAACATGGGCTTTTGTATGATGGAATACTTGGCACCATTGAAAAGAATGAGGTAGATCGCTATGCACTACTGTACTGCTGTGGAAGGTCATGAGTATTAATTCTTACCAGACAAGAAGAGGTGCACAGCAGTTTGCTAATGTTTGTTTGAAAATCAAGTGTGGTGGAAGATGGGCATGTATACTTATACATACAAGATGATGATGTAAATTGTGAAATATGTAATAGTTTTGGGGATTTAGTTTAAAAATTATGATTTTATTCTCCTCTGTAATATTTCCCCATTTGTCTTTAACATAAAATAATTATAAATCACTTAATATCAGGAAAACAATCCAAAAATATTATCTCTCCAGGAATAAAAATATTATTCTGTCAAAATGTGTAGTCTTGGCATATCAGCCATGTTTATCTTGGGGCAGTGTAGAACAACTGCTTCCCAGCTCCATGTGTAGGCAAGCCCTGTTTTGAGAAGCAAAGCTTTCTATCCATAAATTAAGGTTGGGATCTGATATTTTGATGGTTTCTATGATGGTTTGATGGTTTCTTTTAAGTTGATGAAACTGAATTTGGCTTCTAAGGTGTGTCACCATCTCTTGACATTTGACCTGTGAAAGCATTAGTTCCCTGACAGCGTATGACTGTACTCTAGAAAGGTGTTGTCTGAATTTTTACTTCCCAATCAGTATTCTCACTTCAGGATTTTCATTGCTTTAAGTGACTCTTGTATTTACAAAGCCCATATCCGTTTCAATTCTGCTCCCATCTGATTCTTTGTGATCTGTTTAGCAGCCCAGGCCTGAAAGAGGAACAAACAGAGAGGGAAATGAGAATAAGAAATGAATTAAGTGCCAGGGAGGGACCCAGAGTTAACTGTACAGGCGCTTTATATTGATGTTTCTTCTTCAGTATTGAAAGCTTACTATATTGATGGACTCTTTTTCATCTTGGTATCTTGCACTTACATATTGATGTTATTTGTTTTTTTACCAATATTGAAATGTAGAATTGATTAGTTAGACTTATCATTCAGATAGAAACTGTTTCAAGCTCTTTTTTTGGGAACAAATATTCTTAGGTGAATATTAACATGTTATTGAGCAATTAGCAATTAGTTGTAATGTAAATCAGTTTTCTGTAATACTTTATCACTGCTGTTTGGTGAAATCAAGTTTTATTGGATGATTCAGTGTGTAAGAGTGTCATAAATGAGTTTTTCACTATTACTGGAGATTTAAGTTTTTGGAGAAATTGTGTGACCAGTAATCAAAAGGTATAAAACATTTAGCCAATTGGAAAGTGAAAAATTATTAACATTTGATATGTAAACATAGGCCTCATTTTAATTTAGTCATATTGTCAAGTAGCAGGACGATATGTGTAGTAGATAGTGATACCTGTGCTTTTAATTCCGTTCTTTTTGTACGTCTGAGTTGGATATTTTGCTTTGTATAGAGGGGAAGAGAGAGGAATAGATTTTATTGTTAAGCCTGTGCTGAATCTGAGGTGCCTCCCCACTTGCCCACTGTCTTTCTAGTGCAGACTCAGAGGAGCAGTGGACCTGTTTCTTCAGCACAGAGCTCTCTTAAGACTTAATAGGAAAATTTGCAGAGGTATAAATCTAGTGGAACCATTAATTCTCAGCTGGATTTTTTCCTATTGTGTTTTATTTTTATTTTTCAGATACTAAAAGTATCTGACAAATAAACTGAAAGGTAAGATTGGCTTTTGGTAAAAACAGAAAGGAGAAAAAAAAAACCTTAGTTCTAAATATATCACTTCAGGGTTATAAAATAAGACAGCCTTTTTTTCTGGAAGAACAGAGACATGGCAGTCTGATGGATTTTAAAAGTCTCGGTGACTTTATTTTATACCCATATAAACTAGAAGCTATGAGTCTTTTCAAAGTGTTTCTAAAACCAAAGACTTTTCTTTACATATGTGGATCTCATAAACCTATGGTCAGATAACCTATTTTCAAAAGTCCAGATTTTTTAAAATTTATTTTTAATTTTTAATTTTAAAAATTATGGGTACATAGTAGGTGTTTATATTTATGGGGTACATGAGATGTTTTGATACAGGCATGCAATGTGAAATAAGCACAGCATGGAGAATGGGGTATGCATCCCCTCAATCATTTATCCTTGAGTTACAAACAATCCAATTACACCCTTTATTTTAAAATGTACAATTGTTACTGACTATATTCACCCTATTGTGCTATCAAATAGTAGGTCTTATTCATTCTTCCTATTTTTTCAGATTAGTTTTTGAAAGAAAATATATGCGTGTGTTTCCTCATGCACTGCAGATATTTCCCACAATTTCTTTTTCACCCTTGCAAGTTTTTGATGTTTGTAAACATCAGAAGTTTTAAATTTTCATGTGGTCAAATGTATGTATCTTTCATTTGGTTTTGTTTACTTCTTTTAAATTTCTTTTGTAAAACAGTCATTCCTCACACAAAATCAGTTAAAGAATTACCAGTATTTTTTATTTGTTTTTCTTTTTAAACAGGTAACAAAACTCTGTATATTCTATTTTGGCACATGACAGGAAGTAAATATCACTTCTTTTTTTTTTTTACCCAAATAGTTTTTCAACACTATTTTGTATGTAATTTATTCCTTCTACATTGGTTTATGAGATTATATATGTATGTGTGTGTGTATGTGTAAATATATATGTAATATGTATATATATATATATGGAGAGTGAGAAAGAATTAAAATATCAGAGTTTGTTTGCTGTGTCAAGTCTTGTGTTAGTTTTCATTATTGTGGCTCTCATTGTCCTTTTTAAGAAAAATTCCTGGCTCCTGTCAATTGTTTAATCTTTCAAACGAACTTGGGAATCATTTTCACAAGTCGTTCCCCTTATTTTCCTCTTTCTTCTGCAGACCTTTTCACTGTGAATTCCAGGAAAATAATTTGGGTAGAGCGGCATTTTATACTATTCAATCTTCACATAGAAGGAATATCTCCTTTTTAAATTCCAATTTTCTTTTGTGGTTTCTTATAAAGTCTTGTGACTTGTTTCACATAGGCCCCTTTATGTATTTGTTATTGTAAAGGATGTTTTTCATTATTCGCTATTTACTGTTGGTAATTGCTGGGATTTAAGCTGTTGATTTCTCAAAATTGTAAGTTAATTCCCTTCACCAAGCTTTTATTTGTTCTAATAGTTCATGAGTTCATTCACTTGAGCATTCAGGATATACCATTGTGTTGTGGCCAAAAACAGTATGTTGGTTTCTTCCTTCTAGTGGTCACATTCCATTACTGCCTGTCTAATGTTCTTACGTTGGCTAAAATCCTATAAATTTTAGAAATGATTGGCTGTAAAGTGCCTATTTGCTGTTAGGAGTGATTTTGTAACTCATCCAGAGACCACAAATTACTGTGAAGAAAGGCTTCTGGGAAAGCATCAAGTTTAGGTGGTAATGCCATCTTTTCATATTTTTGGTAGAACAATTAGACTTTTAGGGAAAATCTATTAAAATAGTAGATTTGAAAACTTAAAGCAGATTTTAAAATAGATAATTGTATATTTTTGTCCTTTTTCTGTTTCTGGATGGAAACTTGGTTATATTGAGAAAGAGAAACATAGAATGAAAAAATAATGAGTTCACTGATTCAAAAGTAAAACCCAACTTTTATGGATGTTGTTTTAATAGACCTATAGATTATATAGAATAAAATAGTTTGGATTTTTTCCACTAGATTCAGGTAGAGTTATCTTTTTAAAAAATTATTCATGTGAATTTCCTACTAACTAACTTGCTCTCACGATGTGCTGTTTTTCATTTCCTGAATTGTGTATTGTGCTTTTGTTTTTACTAAAGCTGAAAACATCTATCTGTTTGCTCTCTGGGTGTGTTTTCGTCTCCCTTTCTGTACTGTTTCTTGGATGCAGGTGTGTCGTCTTTCTTTTCTCCTCAGCAGTCTTTTGCAAAGCCTTTCAAATGCCCCACAGTCCTGAGCAGAGTTCATATGGAACGTGGCCTTGTCCAGGTTGCCTTGACCGCAGTGACTTTCCTCATGCTCTTTCCTCTGCTCTAAAATGCTCTCCCTTTTCCCCACCCACCCAACCCACCTGCACAGAAGTTTACCTCTTTGATAGAACTCTCTGATTATCTCAGGTATGAGTTCTTGGATTTGCAGGGCACTTCATGGCATTCTCTATGGCATTTAGTAGTCTGTAGCTTTCATTCTGTGTATGTGAGACGTGTTTACAGTTTGGCACAGTTTTCATGGCTATATCACATTCTCCGTGAATCTGCAGTGCTTAGCATCACCCTTGTTTGTTGAACGAGTGAGTGCAGGGCTGCTGTACTTTGGTGCTCAGTGCCTTGGAACATGCAGTTTTCTTGCGATTTTCCTGTACAGTCCCCAGATTTACTAGCCTTCCCTCAATATACTGTTATTTTCAAGAATATATTAACGACTGTCAAGATATGTACAGGTATATGCTTTTTGTTTTTATGGGTGTCATATGTGGCTATTGGTGAAAACGAGTTGAAACTAAAGTTTATATTTTTATATGGCTTTTTCATTTCAAACATTAAAAAACATTAAAAATACACCAAAAGGATCAGAAAAAATGCAAGATGATAAAAATACAACTGTGGCCAAAGCCAGGACTTTGTGTCCAGTGGCATGGCTATACTACTCTGTCAGTATTTTATGTCCTCTAATGAAAAATATTGTACCCTAGTGCCAATGTGTAATGTTTTAGACACTGTCATGTAACTGGGAAAGTGTTATCTCAGTAACAAACAATTTTACCTAGTAAATATTCCTAATTGGCTCAAAGATAACTATATTTAAAATCATGTTTAATAATATCAGTGATAATGTCAAAAATGAAATCAGGGCAAGTTAGCAAATTTTTTGTTTATCGTGCATACCAAAAATTAATTCACAAACCAGGAGACTTCTTTTTTTTTTTTTGAGACGGAGTCTCACCTTGTCAGCCAGGTTGGAGTGCAGTGGTAGAAACACAGCTCACTGCAGCCTTGACCTCCTGGGCTCAAGTGATCCTCTTTCCTCAGCTGGCAGTAGCTGGGACCACAGGTGCATGCTACCTTGCCTGGCTACTTTTTATATATTTATATTTTTTGTAGAGATGGTGTCTCGCTATGTTGCCCAAGCTGGTCTCAAACTCCTGAGCTCAAGCAATCCACCCACCTTGACCTGCCACAGTGGTGGGATTACAGGCATGAGCCATAGCACCTGGCCAAACCAGGAGTCTTCAAACAGATAGTGGTAAGAAGCTTGGCTCACAGCAACTTATAAAGCATAAATGAAGAAGTACATTAATCTCTGTTGCTGTTATTATAATCTTACATTCCTTTCAGGGCAAGCAGAGCTGTAAAAGCTTATTTGCTTGTAGATGGTTGGTTCACTTTTATCATGCTGACAAGGACAGAGAGCTTAAGTTTCGTTTATGGCCAGAGCCAGCATTTTAGAGAAGTCAGGATAGCTGAAGTTTCTCTTATGTGGCTATGGGTGGTTGGCCTAAGGATATGCCCACACTGTGGCCTCCGTTTGATTTTTCTTTAACAATAACGATATTAATAGCAACCAAATACTGACTGAGTTCTTATTAGGTGCCTTTCACATCTACTTATCACAGTGACCCAGAATTGATGTTGAGTCTGCTTTGCTATGCATTTGCTATGCAATGATGAGGCCATACTTTGTGATAAGGTAGCAACTAGTCACCTGTGAGATGTTTTTCCACATGGCTTTGCCTCTGTCCAATACCCCACATGTCCAGGAAGCAGGCTTTGTTACATGACTTGGAGCATCAGCATGTGTTCAGAAGGATGCGTGCGTATACCCTAGAAATAGCTCAAGTTTATTGATTATTTATTAGGTCAAGTAGAAAATTCTAACTAAAGTCTACTCTTGGTGAAAGGTTAATCCTACTGTGTTTTCATTCCTAAGGTCTCAGAATACTTTTGTAAGAATAATCACCTTTTTTCTCTGATCTTCATGTAAATACACGAGCCCGTAAAGTTTGAAGTGATTTTCCTTAAAAATCAATCAGAATTTTCTGGTTTTTTAAAAAATCATTTTTAGCCTACGTTTTCCTAATATTAGGAATGTTAGAGCATCAACAGTGCCATAGGTGATACAGAATAAATGCAAAGATGGAAGTAGGTCTCAGGAAATGGCTATATTAAGGTTTCCGCTTCTTTCAGTAGGAACTCTGGGAGCTCCCTTTTGTTTCCAGTCAAGGCTAAGCCATCTTCTGCCCTTCTGCCTGGGTGCTGCTATGGTTGTAAATGAATTGGCTGTTGCGGGGAGGAGGAACCATCTGCCTGGGGGCTTGACAGGGAATAGAAGACACAAAATGGATGAGGAGGCCGGGCGCGGTGGCTCACGCCTGTAATCCCAGCACTTTGGGAGGCCGAGGCGGGCGGATCACAAGGTCAGAAGTTTGAGACCAGCCTGACCAACATGATGAAACCCCGTCTCTGCTAAAAATACAAAAAAATTAGCCAGGCATGGTGACGTGCGCCTGTAATCCCAGCTACTCAGGAGGCTGAGGCAGGAGAATCGCTTGAACCAGGGAGGCGGAGGTTGCAGTGAGCCGAGATCGTGCTGCTGCATTCCAGCCTGGGCGACAGAGTTTCATATGCACACGTTGTTTCACTTTCATTTGCCTGCTCTGTGGCCATGGGGAGATATATATATATATATATATATATATATATATATATATATATATATATTTTTTTTTTTTTTTTTTTTTTCCCTGTGAGAGCAGTTGTTTTGAGAAAACTGTGAGAAACTTTTCCTGGGAGACAGTGGGTGGGGTTTGACAGCTCCCCCCTCCCTCATCAGTGTCCCAGCTGCTCTTGACCTGCCTACACTGCAAAACATCAACAGGCCCCTAATCGTCTATGTATTTGCGATACTGTTGTATGGTTCTGATTTTCCACTCTTATTTCTGTTTCCCTACTTGGGACTCTTTGTTTTTATTTTTTATCATGACTTTATTTATTTATTATTTTATTTTATCTATTTTTTTTGAGACAGAGTCTCGCTCTGTTGCCCAGGCTGGAGTGCAGTGGCGTGATCTTGGCTCACTACAACCTCCATCTCTCAGGTTCAAGCGATTCTCCTGCCTCAGCCTCCGGAGTAGCTAGGAATAAAGGTTCCCACCATCACACCCGGCTAATTTTTGTATTTTTAGTAGAGATGGGGTTCCACCATATTGGCCAGGCTGGTCTTGAACTCCTGACCTCAGGCGATCCACCCATCTTGGCCTCCCAAAGTGCTAGGATTACAGGTGGGAGCCACTGCATCTGGCTAATTTTTATCATAACTTTATATTCTGCTGCAAGCTGCTTTTAATTATTCAAGTTAAGAGGAAGGTAAAAAAAATAATTTCCAGTTCTTACCTGAGCTGAAAAAAATGAGATAGGTAATATAAGCCAGTTCAAATTACAGTGGAAGTAAGAAAACTCAGTTTCTTTGTAAGGATCTGAGTAGCCCAAGTAGAATCACATGATCATATTGGAAAGCATCTTAAAGATCATAAAGATTATTTGGTCATCTTGTAGAAGAGGGAACTGAGACCTAGAAAGCAAGTTAAAGTTTATAATGCTAGCTATTTATGAGTTCTCCACAACTTGACAGTGTGACTTTCATGCAATCAGCACTTTCAAATATTAAAAGATAGATATCCTCAAACTACCTTTTCTAGGCCTAATTGGGACTTCCATGCATCAGCTGATGAACAAACATTCTAATACTTCATTACAGTCAAGCACAATAATCAACAGTTGCACTTTGCTAAGCAGTGTTTATTTGCACAACTATTTGAAGACTGTGGTGCATTTATTTATATTAGTTTCTAAAAATGAACAGAAATGGTAAAATGTTCTAAGTGCTGATACTAACAGCCAGACAACTGAGACAATGATGGACACAGTTAAGTGACTCATGGTCAACTAGACCAGTTATAGAATATAAGGTGATCTGCCTGTAATCCCAGCACTTTGGGAGGCTGAGGTGGGTGGATCACCTGAGGTCGGGAGTTCGAGACCAGCCTGACCAACATGGAAAAACCCTGTCTCTACTAAAAATACAAAATTAGCCAGGCTTGATGGTGCATGCCTGTAATCCCAGCTATTCGGGAGGCTGAGGCGGGAGAATTGCTTGAACCTGGGAGGCGGAGGTTGCAGTGAGCCGAGATCACGCCATTGCCCTCCAGCCTGGGCAACAAGAGCGAGACTCTGTCTAAGAAAAAAAAAAAAAAGAAAAAGAATATAAGCTGATCTACTCAGTGCACAAAGGGGTGAAAATTAAACATATCCCAAATTCCAAGACTACATTGTCCAAGTGATAGGAGGGAGTGAGAGAGAATTGAGAAAAGATCAGTAAAATATGAAATGAAAATTATTATCAGAATATCCTGGGAACTCAAATACTGGGAAAGAGTTCATGGGTCCATTCGCTAGGTATACAGCTTACTACAGGCCCGTCATCGACAGAAGGCAGCTAGTGCCTTACAAGAAAACAGACAAAACCTCATTAAAATCTACATCACTCATTTCTGCCCTAATCTGTATGAAATGACCATTGATATCTCCTTACAGTTAATAATGGTAGTAATAATTTATTTTACCGATTAGAGATGGTACTACTGCTGACAAAACTGTTGTTTATTACTGTAGACAAAACTGTACATTTCATTTATTTATCTATTTATTTATTTAGAGATGGAATTTCGCTCTCGTTGCCCAGGCTGGAGTGCAGTGGCGCGATCTTGGCTCACTGCAACCTTCACCGCCCTGGTTCCAGTGATTCTCCTGTCTCAGCCTTCCTAGTAGCTGGGATTACAGGTGCACGCCACCACGCCCAGCTAATTTTTGTATTTTTAGTAGAGATAGTGTTTCATCATATTGGTCAGGCTGGTCTGGAACTCCTGACCTCAGGTGATCCACCCGCCTCGGCCTCTGAAAGTGCTGGGATTACAGGCGTGAACCACCGCGCCTGGCCTACATTTCAGTTATTCTTGATGTGTTTTAAAAGTGTGCATTCCATAACAGTTGGATATAAAAATATACATTTTATAACTAGAAATTGTACACATTTTTAGTTCTTTGGAACATGTAAACCCAGTGTTGAACTTCTGTACATTAAGTTTTTATCACCTTTAACAGGAATGTGTCGTGACTGAAAGTGGAGGATGAGCTGGTATGACATGGGTTCTGTCTAGGGATTCTCCTGTGGGAGGGAGAGGACCTTTGTCTTGGTAGCTGTCTACTGTACTAATATTCATGCCTCTCTGCCCAAGTCTGTAGTGTCAGTTTTACCACTTGAGAATTTCAGAAATGAAGTTTACCTCCCCAGTCCCTTTAAAAGATAAAAACAAATTAGCTCAAATTCTAACCACAGCCATAAGTGGTCCTTGTGCATGGCAATGGCTAAGAATGGGCACTGCCTGCTTCTGAGGTGTCCTCTGTCTTTGCTGTGAGCGGCGTGACAGCTGTGCCTTCCGTGCTTCTCTTCGGAGGCTTGTTTCTGGGTATGTGTTCACCGCAATGGATGCTTAGATTTTGGTTCACCGAACGACACAGAAGTCACTGCATTCGATGTGGTGACCTCAGAGCAAGTGGCCTCCAGGTCCAGTTTATCTAAGTCAGAAGCTGTGATTCAGGAAAGCCACTGCAGCTGTTTCCTGTAGAGAGGTTGGCCGAGGCAAGGACCTCATCACCTGTGGGCGTATCTGCTTGCTAATACCATTGCTGCAGAGGAATAGGTTCCTGGAGACGGAGGCACACAGGCCCAGAGAGGAAGTGACAGGGATTTGTAACAGATCACACTGACCTGAAGGAAGGCCCTGACGTAGATATGTCCCCTTTTCACATTCAGAGTCGTTGCTGCTGCTTCTCTTTATGTCTTGGATAATCCACCTTGGCCTCTTGAGTATACTGTACCTCCCTAACCTGCTGGGCTGAAAGGCCAAGTGCAGGCAACTGAGTCTATACTGACCTTGAGTGGTTTAGGGAGGAGGCAGTGTGTTATGGAAGCATCTCCTTGAAGCCTTTGTGTGTATGAAAGGACACATTGCACCAACTGATAAAATCTGCTCCACTAACCAGAGGCAGTGAAGTGAGAGTGAGCTTGCTTGGCTTGGATAACTGACATTTATCCGTCAGCCAAATTCAGTGGAAAAAAGTATGGCAATTGGAGTTAGATCTGGATTTCTGATGCTTGCCAGTCCCGCTTCTTCACTATGTAACCACAGTGCCTCGTTTTCTCTTTCTTTCTTTTCTCTTTTTTTTTTTTTTGAAATAGAGTTTTTCTCTGTTACCCAGACTGGAGTGCAGTGGTGTGGTTTCAAGCTCACTGCAGCCTCCACCTCCTGGGTTCAAACAATTCTCCTGCCTCAACCTCCCGGGTAGCTGGTAATACAGGTGCGTAACACCACACCTGACTAATTTTTTTATATTTTTAGTAGAGATGGGGTTTTACCATGTTGGCCAGGGTGGTCTCGAACTCCTGACCTCAGGTGATCTGCCCACATTGGCCTCCCAAAGTGCTGGGATTACAGGCATGAGCCACCACGCCTGGCCAATGTGTTGCCTTTCTATAATGTAATATTGATCTTTAATTATGATGATGACTAGATGAGACAATGTATGTGAAGTGCCTGGTTGGCGACTAAAGAAATAATAGTATAATAAAAAAAAAACGCCATTATAATTATTTTTATTATGCGTCTGTTCTTCCACCAGATGTTTTGCTGGAGGTGTTAGTAAGAAGGTAATCAGCTTTTAGAGATGTTCCTCTTTGATCTGCTACAGAGGTGAAAAATCTTAAAGGCAAGCTGCTATTTTTGATTTTGAAAAATCTCAGAAAGACCCAGGACTGCAGAGATTGTGAAACTGGTAGTTAAGCAGAATATGTTTGGCAGGAGTGTCACTTCACCCCGAGGTACAGTAAATTAAGAGCAGCATCTTGATTACAGCAAAAGTTCAGTTCTAGGTCTCCTTTACGGGGCACTTTACCCACAGCTTCTCAGGCGCATGTGTAAAACGAAGTCCACGTGCTGTCTGTTCAGAATAGAACGGAGATGAGTGGTAAGAGATTTAGAGAGCAGAGTAATTTCAGGTTAGTGTTTGAATTTGGTGTTTGAGAGTAGCCCACAATTAAATGCTGTAAAGTGGCACAGGAAAGTGGCTTGAACTTTAAGAATGTTCCCTTTCCACCATTCTCCCATTTTATCCTGAGATTTTCCATTTGTATTAATTATCTCCACAGCTCCTGTTGGGTTATACAGTAGAATTTGAATTTCTAATAAATGTCAAAATCAGAAAATAGGCCTATAATCTTTCACAGGCAGTTATGAAGAGAATGGACTTTTTGTTTCTGAAGCATTTTGTCCTATAAAGCACAGACCTTATTTTTCAAATGCCTTGTCACCAGAAACCACGAGCCATTCTCATTAAAAGACTCTGGAGGAGTACTGGGGATGGTGGCAGGGCATGGCGGTGTGGGAGAGCAGGCCTGGAGCAGCAGTGCTCACTGGCCGGGGCGTCCTGTCCACCTCACCCTGACTATCAGGGACGTGCAGTCACCTAGAAGTCTCTTCCCTCGCAGGACCCAACTTTCTCATCCGTAAAGTCAAGATATTAAACCAGCTGATCTTTAATGTTCTTTCCTGAGTTCCATTTCTTTGGGCATATCATATGAAAAACCACTCTGCATATTATAATCAACCATTCTTGAAGAAGACATGAGTACGTTTTTATTCACTGAGGCCCATAGTACTTGGGTGAATAAAATTCATCATCACCTCCAGCGGTGATTTTCTGTGTATTTGGGTGTAATTGCATCATTGGAGTCATTAAAATTATTTTATATGAAGGGCCAGTTTATACAATAAATAAAGTAGAATTGCTGTGGTTTCCTCAGGGACTGAGCCCTATGTGCCTGTTTCACTTTCAGCCCCTGAGCATCCCCTGAGGTATCCATAGAGCCCCATGATTTGAAAATTTGACATTCAGGGTTAGATCCATGCTCCGGAGTGTAGCATTGTATTCTTGATCCAATCCTGTGCCTACTTTTCCCACCAACATTTTATTATGAAAAATTTCGAGCATACAGGAAAAGTTGAAAAAATTTTACAGTTAACCTTCGTATAGCCGCCACCTCGATTCTACGATTTACATATTACTGTACTTGCTTTATATTCACATATTCATCTGTCTATCCCTCTATCCTCCAACAATTCTTTTTTTTTTGATAGGTTTCAAATACGCTTCAGAATTCCTCCTAAATGTAGATAATGATAACTAATTAGCTGGAGTTCAACATTTATTTATAATTCTTTTTTTAGAGTAAAATTTCCATACAGTGAACTTCACGGACCTTAGTTATACCATTCATTAGGTTTTTTTTTTTTTTTTAATTGAGATGGAGCCTCGTTCTGTCACCCAGGCTGGATTGCAGTGTTACAATCTTGGCACACTGAAACCTCCGCCTTCCAGGTTCAAGTGATTCTCCTGCCTCAGCCTCCCGAGTAGCTGGGATTACAGTCACCCACCACCACACCTGGCTAATTTTTGTATTTTTAGTAGAGATGAGGTTTTGCCATGTTGGCCTGGCTGGTCTTGAACTCCTGACCTCAGGTGACCCTCCCACCTTGGCCCCCCGAAGTGTGGGGATTACAGGCGTGAGCCAGTGTGCCTGGCCCATTCATTAAGTTCTGACAAAAGTATGTATCTTTGCAATTTAAACTTTCTGTCAAGATGCTAATCATCCCCTTTACCCCAAAAAGTCCCCTCATGCCCCTTTCTGGTCAGTCTTCATTCACACCATCTAGAAGTCGGTATTGTTCTGATTTTTTTCCAACCAAAAAAGTTGTTTTATCTGTTATTACTTTCCATAAAGAGAGTCATATATATTCTTTGTGTCTGGTTTCCTTCACTTATCAAATGTTTTTGAGACCATTTGAGATTCATCCACGTTGTGTGTATAGTAGTTTGTGTGTGTGCGTGTGTGTGTGTAATCCATTTTATGAATATACCACTGTTTACCCTTCTGTTGATGGATATCTGGACTGCATCCATTTTGGGGCTGCTATGAATAAAGTTGCAGTGAATATACAACTCTTTTTCTTGTGAGTATTTTTTCTTGGTTAAATACCTAGGATTAGAATTGAATCATGCGGTAGGTGTACGTTTAGCTTTGTAAAACATTGCCGGCCATTTTTCTGAAGAGCTTGTACCATTTTACAACGTCACCAACAAATCAGAGTTCTGCGTGTTCCACATCTTCACCGACATTTGGTGTTTTCAGTCTTTTTAAATTTAGTTTTTCTACTGGAACAACAACAAGAACAATAATAATAATGATGGTGATAACTAATAGTGGTATTCCACTGGCTTTTATTTGCATTTCTCTGCTGACTAATGATGTCAACCACTTTTTCATGTGTTTATCAGCTTTTTTGTATCTTCTCTGGTGAAGTGTTTGTTCAAATCTTTTATTGATTTGTTTTTAACTGAGCTGTTTGTCTTTTGATTGTTGAGTTGTAGGAATTCTTCATATATCCAGCTGTCAGTTTGTGTCATATTCTTTGCCGGTCTTTGGCTTCCCTGTTCATTTTCCCAAAGATGTCTTTTGAGAAATGTAAGATTTTAGTTTTCAAAAAAATCCATTCTCTCAATATTTTCTTTCACGATTACTGCTTTCTGTATTCTAAGAAACCTTTGTCCACTCCAAGGTATGAAAGCATTCTCATATATTTTATTGTACAAGCTGCACATTTGGTCACTAGTCTTTACATTTAGGTCTTTGCTGTATCTTGAATGGATGTATGTGTGTGCTGTGAGATAGGAGCTCTGCCTGCTTCTGGCCACTCCTTCAACACAATCTCTGCTGCTGTTACCCTGGCTTACTGGCCATTTCCCAAATGTATATACACTCATGTCTGTGTACTTGTATGTTGTGTTACTTCCTTACTTATTTATTTATTTATTTTATTTATTTTTTTGAGACAGAGTTTCAAGTATATAGTACTAAATAAAACATAAGTAATCTGTGCCACCGTGGTTCTTGTTATGTAGTAAGGATAGACATTAAACAAATAAACACAAATGCTCTTCTATGAATATCTGGTGAAGTTCTTTTTATCCTTTAAAACTTGTCTTTACGGTATTTGGAGACAAATAAATATAATCTACCATTATCAGCAGGCTAAAGAAGAAAAATCATATTATATCAATTGATACAGAAAAAGCACTTGGAAAAATTCAATACTCATACAAATAAAAACTCTCAACAAACTAGGGATAAGAGGCAAACTTTTTCAACTTGATAACATTTATAAAAATCCTAAGTTAACCTCATATTTAATGGTGAAAGACTGAATGCTTTCCCTCTAAGATTGGGAAAACAACAAAGATGTCTGCTTTTACCAGTCTTGACATCATACTAGAAGTTCTAGCCACTGCAATAAGGCAAGGAAAATAAAAGACATTCAGATTAGAAAGGAAGAAAGAAAACTATGTCTATTTGCAAATGATATAATTGTCTACATAGAAAATCCAAAGTAATCTATCAAAAATAAAACATAACACCCTCCTAAAACTAATAAGTGAGTTCTGCAAGGTTTCAGGATATAAGATCAACACATGAAAATCCATGAGATTTCTTTACATTAGCAATGAATATGTGGAAACCAAAATTCCAAACAGAATATCATTTGTAATCACTCTCAAGGAAATGAAATACTTAGGTATAAATTTAACAAAACATATTGGATCTGTATGTTGAAGATTACAAAAACCTGATTTTTGCAAAAGCATCTAAATAAATGGAGAGACACGTTGTGCTCACAGGTTGGAAAACTCAACATACTGAAGATGATAGTTTTCCCTAATTGACTTGTAGGTTTAATTCAATTCATATGAAAATATCAGCAAAGTTTTTTTTTCTTACAAACATCCTCGATGATACAGTTAAAATGATTAAACTTACTAACTTTCAACCCTTGAGTACTTTTTAGAAATGTATATAAATATTTCAGTAATCTTTGTATTTTACACCCTTGCTCTTTTACTAATGTCTTCAATTAGCCTGGTACATTTGATGCAATTAAGGAACCACTATTGTTACATTATTAACGAAATCCACACTTCATTCAGATTTTCTCGTTTTTTACCTAATACCCTTTTTCCATTCCAGGATACTACATTACATTTAGTCAGTAATCTTTTCCGGGCTGTGACTGTTTCTTATACTCTCCTTGTTTCTGGTGACTTTGACAATTTAAAGAAGTACCTGTCAGGTGTTTAGTAGAATGTCTGTCAGTTGGATCTTTCTGATGTTTTTCTCATTTTTAGACTGGAGTTATATGTTTTTTTTTTTTTTGGAAGGATCACAATTGTAAAGGGCCATTATTTTCATCACAGCGTATCATGGGTCCATTACTATCAACAAAACTTATTACTGTAGATGTTGACTTTGATCACCTGGCAGTGTAGTGTTTGTCAGATTTCTCCATTGTACAGTTATTCTTCCCCCACCCCTTTCTTTACTTTCCCCACCTTTTCTTTACTATTCCCTTTGGAATCAGCAAGGTTTGTTCGTTCGTTCTTTCTTTCTTGCCTGGGACTACATGGTGTGCACCACCATGCCTGGCAAATTTTTTTTTTTTTTTTTTTGTAGAGTTGGGGTCTCACTATGTTGCCCAGGCTGATCTCAAACTCCTGGTCTCAAGCATTCCTCCTGCCTCAGCCTCCCAAAGTGCTGGGGTTATAGGCATGAGCTACTGTGCCCAGCCCCAGCAAGATTTTTTTATACACAAGCTGTTTTTCAGTTTTGTTTGGAAAGACATTGTTTCTAGAATAACTAAAATTTTAAAAGAGGTTAGTCAGTAGGATCACTTTAACTGATGTTCCTATCTGCTATAGCGATAGTAACGAAGGCACTGTGGCATTTGCGAAAGGTTAGACACAGAGATCAGTGGAACAGAATAGGGAATCCAGAAGTAGATCCCCATAAATATGCCCAGTTTATTTTCGACAAAAGCCTGAAAGCAATTCAGTGGAGGAAGGCTACCTGCTTCAGGAAATGGTCCTGGAACATTTGGACATCCCTAGGAAAACACTGTACTTTGACCTAAACCTCACACTTTGTGTAAAAATTAGCCCAAAATGAATCATGTATATATATCAATACCATTGATAATTGTGTCAATGTCCTGGTTGTGATATTGTACTTTAGTGTTGCCAGATGTTATCATGGGGAGAAATTGGGTAAAGAGTCCATGGAATTGCTCTGTATTATTTAATTACAACTGCAGGTTAATCTATAGTTATGTTCAAATGAAAAGTTTCATTAAAATAATCCCCTTCAAAGCTAATTCCTCTGGAGAGCTGGGGTTTCTTCTAGCTTGTTGTATATTTGCTCATTTAGTCATTTACATACTCATCATTTAGTAAGTTGTTACTTTCTGCCAAATTCACTGATAGGTTCTGAAAATTCAAAAAGTGAGCACATGTCTAGATATAAATATTTGAGATTCAGAGCCATATGGGTGGTAGGATATTACCTCAGTAAGAATGTATAATTTCAGAGAGCATCAAGGCTATACTTGTTTCTCTGTATTGCATTTATTCCACAGAGCTGTCTCCACCAGCCTGTGAACTGGAGCATAGGGCCATTATTTGTTCATCTTCAGATACCAGCTACCTGCTTTTGTAGCTGATATATATAAGCCATTTTATGCAAATATGTTGAATGATTGATTTAATGCATGAATACTTGCTTTTACTTTTTATGAGAGCAGTGAGCCATATGACCAAACAAAGGGACTGGACAGGGAGATATAAAACTAATTTTTCTTTGTTTATAGATTGCAGGAACATATCTTTTCACAGTTCTATGACAACTGGACCTGAAATTTAGCAAGCCCAGGAAAATCAGTCTCCAAAACACGTATTTGTGATATATTTCTTGTAATAGCTTATGGAAGATTTTCAGCTGTTCTTTGATAGAATATTGACAGAGATTAACTGATCCCCCCCACAACAAACTACATTTCTTATTTTCCTCGATTACAGAAGTTCAGTGCATAAAAGCAGGGTGGGGGAAATCAGATGGATTGCCATAATCTCATAAGCCACTGTTAATTCCTTTATGAGCTCTTCTGGTATTTTTTTATAGCATAAGACACACCTACGTACATACAAAATAAAGATGATATCATGAGATGTGAGTAATTTTTAGCTGTTTTATCTGTATTGTGACCATTGCGCAATGTGAAAATACAATCTCAATTCACACATCACTGCACCATACTTTATTGCAGAAGCCCCTTAGTGTTGGACAGTCAAGTTGTTTCTAATTAGGAATAGTAACTGTTTCTTGTTCTGCCGTATTGTGTTAGGGGCAGTACACTTTTGCTATCTCTATAAAAAGATGCCACCATGTCTACCAGAGTAAACCTCTGGAAATAGAGATTTGAAAACAGCTTATCTCCGCCCTTCATTTATATCAGGCTTGTTCAGCCCGTGGCCTGTAGGCAGCCTGTGGCCCAGGATGGCTTTCAATGTGGCTCAACACAAATTCATAAACTTCCTTAAAACATTGAGGTTTTTTTTTTGTGATTTTTTTTTTTTAATTTTTAGTTCATCTGCTATCATTAGTGTTAGTGTATTTTATGTGTGGCCAAAGACAATTCTTCTGATGTGGCCCAAGGAAGCCAAAAGATTGGACACTCCTGATTTATATGATAGGTGATCGACTGTCATAATATTCTTTGAAGTTCACTTTGATTTCTGGGAGGGAGCCTTAAAAAAAAAAAAGCTTCCCAACCAGAAGATGAGCATTGATTTTTTTCTGAAATCTTAAACTCTAACTTGAAGTACGTCATGCCCACTCTGCTCAGGTGTGTGGCTTGTCACTATGTCAGTGCCTCATGCTGGTGCTTTCTTTGTGTGAAGGGAGATGCAGTGGGTGGGTCAGTAGAGAGCAGTAGGTGAGCAGGAAGGGAGAACGGAAGGCCTGAGGCTTTGTCCTCAGTTACCTCCAGTCAGCACTGCCTCTGCAGAGAAGACCAGCTCTGGGCCTTGGTTTCCTCATCTAGTAAATGCCCTCTGGTTGATCTAACTCATCTCTCAGTTTCCGCTAACTATAAATTTTACATTTCTTTTGAGATGTAAATACTTGCTCGACTAGCCTTGAGAGCTTTCCATCCTTCTGTCCTCCCTTCCTCCTTCCCTTCCTCCCTTCTTCCTGTATTAATTTTTATTTTTATTTTAACTGACACATAATCGTACATATGTACGGGGTACAGTGAGATGCCTTGATACATATACATTGTGTAATGATCAAATCAGGGTATTTAGCATTTCTGTCATCTCACACATTCATTTGTTCTTTGTAGTGAAAACCTTCAAAATCCCTTCTTCTAGATATTTTGAAATTATATCATACAATATTGTTAATGATAATCACCCTTCTGCACAGTAGCACACCAGAACTTATTTTTCCTGTCTGTGGCCCTGTACATGTTAACCAGTCTCTCCCAATCACACTTCCCTTCTACAGCCTATGCTATCCACTATTCTACTCTTTGCTTCTGTGAGATCACCTTCTTTAGCTCCCGCATGAGTGAGATCATGTGATTTTTGTCTTTCTGTGTCTTTCATTTCGTTTAACATAATGTGCTATAGATTCATCCATGTTGCTGTAAATGACAATTTAATTCTTTTTATGGCTGAATAGTATTTCATTGTGTATATATTCCACATTTTCCTTATTCACTTATCTGTTGATAGATACTTGAGTCGATTCCATTTTTTGGCTATTGTGAATAGTGCTGCAATAAACATGGGAGTGCAGATATATCTTTGACATACTGATTTCATTTCTTTTGGGTGCATACTCCATAGTGGGACTGCTGGATCATATAGAAGTCCTATTTTTAGTTTTTTGAGGAAGCTCCTTACTGTTTTCCATAGTGGCTGTATTAATTTGCATTCCCACCAACAGTGTATAAGGATTCCTCTTTCTCTGCATCCTTGCCAGGATTTATTTTTTGTAGCCATTCTAACCGGGGCAAGGTGATGTCTCATTGTGGTTTTGATTTGCATTTCCCTGATGATTTATGATGTTGAACAGTTTTTCATATATCTGTTGGCCATTTGTATGTCTCTTCAGATTTTTTTACCTGTTTTTAAATTGTAATATTTGGTGTTTTTTTTTTTTTTTTTTTTTTGCTATTGAGTTGTTTGAGCTTCTTAGATATTCTGAATATTAACCCCTTGTCAGATGTACAGTTTGCAGACATTTTTTTCTCATGCTGTAGGTATTCCAGAGAGCTGTCCTTTCTCAGGTGTGATAGTGACTGTGGCAGAACCAAAGCCCAAGGCAGAAGGACAAACCAGGCTTTTCATCTCCTGTTTGCTGCTTTTTTTTTTTTTTAAAAGTGATTTCTTGTAACAGTGGTCACAGACATATATTCTGGTCTAAGTGATAAAATCTTTTTTTTTTTCCTCCCAAATCTTACTATGTTAACATCTCCATCTCATCTAGAGATTAGTTTTCTCTCCATGTCATCCTCTGGAGCACAGCCCAGGACTGAGAATTCAAAGCCTCTAAAGATAAAACATGGCCATTTCAATCCTCTTACACTAAAACCAGACACCATATTCTCTAGGTCTTTACCCAATTTCATTGAAACTACTTAGCATTCAGTTCTCATGAGCTTAATTATTTTGCTTCCCAGATAGCTTACAACAGCATGAAAGCCTGAGACTCAGAGGGGATGGAGGAGCTGAGTACTATTATTATAATAACAGTAGAGGATCTGCTGACCAACGGAAATCAAAGGGGCAAAAATGAAAACACTAAAAATCTATGATTGCACAGAATGCAGATTTTCTTAAAGGATTACTATGGTCATTGATAAAAGCTTAGAATATGTTTATATCCTCTGTTTAATAGTACAGTAACATTTCAGTGGATTTCTATGCTAGTGGTTTCCTTTTTTTTTTTTTTTGAGATGGAGTCTCACTCTGTTGCCCAGGCTGGAGTGCAGTGGCACGATCTCTGCTCGCTGCAAGCTCCGCCTCCCAGGTTCATGCCATTCTCCTGCCTCAGCCTCCCGAGTAGCTGGGACTACAGGCGCCCGCCACCACGCCCAGCTAACTTTTTGTATTTTTAGTAGAGATGGGGTTTCACCATGTTAGCCAGGATGGTCTCGATCTCCTGACCTCGTGATCCACCTGCCTCGGCCTCCCAAAGTGCTGGGATTACAGGTGTGAGCCACCGCGCCCGGCCTATGCTAGTGGTTTTCAAGCCGTAGCTGGCATGAGAATCACCCTGAAGGGTTATTAAGGTACAGACTGATGTGCCCTGCCCCAGAGTTCCTATTTTTTGGGTCTAGGGTAGGGCTTGAGAATCTAACATCTTCTCTGGTGATGTCAATGTCACTGGTCTTGGGACTGTATTTTGAGAACTACTGTTGTATTCAAAATTATTTTAAATGTTATTTAAAATAAGTTTAAATTTCCTGGGAAACATAACTTGTGTGTAAAACGTAGTCCTTACTAAGTAATTATTTTTAAAATATTTTAATTTTGTATCCTACTTCCTGTAGCTCCCACCTCCTTTGGTGTGAATTGAGAGTCATGGGATTCTTTGCTTTTAAATAATTCTCTGTGTGATTCTTCCACCATGGGAGTCTGCCCTCGGTTTCCTCAATTTAGAGACTGTAAATATTTGTGATTTTTCCATTTTTGAATTTACTTCTTTCTATTTTCATATTTTTAATTTTATTTTGCTTCCCTTTTACTGTTTGAACCCAAAGGATAATTTTACTTTTTTTAGGTTTTCCTTTTTGTTTTTTTTTTTTTTTTGAGACAGTCTCACTCTGTCACCCAGGCGTGATCTCAACTCACTGCAACCTCTGCCTGCTGGGTTCAAGCAGTTCTCCTGCCTCAGCCTCCTGAGTAGCTAGGACTACAGGTGCGTGCCACCATGCCCGGCTAATTTTTTTGTAATTTTAGTAGAGATGGGGTTTCACCATGCTGGCCAGGCTGGTCTTGAACTCCTGACCTTGTGATCCGTACGCCTCGGCCTCCCAAAGTGCTGGGATTACAGGTGTGAGCCACCATGCCCAGCCTTTTTAGATTTATAATGCTGTTTTCTGAGCAGTGGTCATAATATTCACATACACACACACACACAGACACACATGCACACACACGGTATAACATGCAAAAGGTTAGAAAGTCGAATGGTAAAACATAAATTTCTTTCCCTGCTGTCTCCCAGCCACATCATTCTCTTCCTTGGAGACACCTACTATGATCAATTTCTTGATATACACTCAACCCAATATTATTCACGGATTCTGTACTTGTGAATTTGCCTGCTCTCTAAAATCTGTTTTTAACCTCAAAATAAGCACTTGAGGCGCTTTCATGGGCATTTACAGAGATGTGCACAACAGGGGGAATAAATCTGACTTGCCCGATGCGCATGTTCCCAGCTGAGGTTGAACACGGTGATGTTCTGCCTTGTTCAGCTCTCAAACTGTAAACAAGTGTCCTTTTCATGGTCTATGTAGTGTCACATTTCACGCCTTTCTGTGCTGTTTGTTGGTGATTTTGCTGTTTAAAAATGACGAGACGGCTAGGCGCTGTGGCTTACGCCTATAATTGTAGCACTTTGGGAGGCCGAGGTGGGCGGATCACTTGAGGCCAGGAGTTCGAGACCAGCCTGGCCAACATGGTGAGACCTCATCTCTACTAAGGATGCAAAAAATCAGCTGGGTGTGGTGGTGCACGCCTGTAATCCCAGCTACTCGGGAGACTGAGGCACAAGAATCACTTGAATCTGGGAGGCAGAGGGTTGCAGTGAGCTGAGATGGCACCATTGCACTCCAGCTTGGGTGACAGAGCGAGACTCTGTCAAATGATAGGTAGATAGATGATAGATAGATAGATTAGATAGATTAGACAGATAGACCTGACCAAAGTGCTGTATAGTGTCTCTAAGTGCAAGAAGGCTGTGATGTGCCTTACAGAGAAAACATGTATGTTAAGAGCTTCATTTAGGTATGAGTGATAGTGCTATTGGCTGTGAGTGCAATGTTCATGAGTCAATAATATGTATTAAATATTTTTAAACAGAAACACACATAAGACAATATTATATACTGATTATTTGACAAAAATGTGACCAGAGGCTCGCAGGAAACCAACTGTATATTTCCCCTCGGAGCAGCGCTTCACTGTTTGCTAATTTAGCGGTCATAGCAACTTTATAGACTATACTGCAGATAAGAAGAACGGACGGCATATGTATTATTTCTTATATGCTTTGCAATTTCAACTAAATGATTTTGTGTATTGCTAATCCTTACAACAGACCTACAAAGGTTATAGAGAAGTGGAGGGCTATTTTTTTTTTTTTTTAAACGGGAATTTTAGCAGAGAGCACAGTATGATGGGGCTGTTTGGGGTTAATGGAACTCCGATATGTAGGCCTGAATTCCACTCTTCTAGCAATCTTGCCACTATGTTCAGGATATGACTTACCATGCATAGAACAGCCTACTCTGAATTATAAAATAAAAAGTTGTTTGATGTCCATCTTTTCGAAGGACTTCCTAAATGAACTTCAGTGCTGTGCTTTAGTTTTTCAACTACTTTGTCACTAGATCCATTATGGGGAGAAAATGGAGCTTTGGAAATATCACTGTGAGTTAAATAAATGGTATCTTTTCTTAGCTAAACAGTGATTTGGAAATGTATAACATAAATGTTCATAATGGGTTTACTCCATTTGATTTGGAAAAACATTCCTTTTAAGGATAGACATATTGTCCAAAACATTGTCTGAAGCAACTTGAGGACATACTGTCCCTGACCTCAAGTTGCTTAAGATCTGACAGATGGACTAGCATCCTAACTAGTAAGTTTAGTGAGTGTTTTATGTGCCATGAGTGAAGTGTGTACAGAAGACAATTGGGAAGAGAGAAGAGATGGCTCAGTTCTCCCCGAGGAGAGCATATAGGATAAGTTATGGTTTGCATAGAGGTAAAACATCTCTGGAATTATAGATCATGTCAATGGGAAGATGTGTTTTGACTTAAAAAGAAATTTTATCAAGAACTTACTAGGACTACATCTATTGAAAAATGCAAGGTAGGCTAATATTCATTAGGAGAGGGCAGGCAATGGAAATAGCAGGGGTGGACTGGAACCAGGTAGGAGTCAGGTGAACCTGGTTTGAATCCTGGTGCTGCCACTTAAGTACTTTTGGTCATTTGGCATGATTTTCACAGATTAATGTTTGTCTTTCATAGTGGTGTTATGAGGATTAAAAGAAAAGAGTAATGAAGAAACGGCTTCATAGAGAAGATGATGCTCCTTTACCATTTGTAGGTAGAGAAATATTTCAGGCTGTTAGACTCTACTTACTAATTGTGAGTGTAAAGACTGACAAAACCTTTGTGTAATTGCTGCACTACAGTCAAGAGCCAGGAGTTTATATGCAGTGACTTCATTTAGAGAATCTTATAAATAATCAATTTATTTAGAATATTCAGGAGAACAGGATTTTTAACCTGGAGGCTATTTCTTCTGTAGCACAGTAATGTTTTTAATTGCTTAAAATAGTTTTTAATATGTGGTTTAGAGAGTTGATTTAAAAAAATTTTTAATTTTACTTGCCATAACTATTCTGCTTGCTAAATTGTTTGTGGGGGAAAACTTGATTCTTTTTCATTAGCTGAATATTTTTAGTTTAAAAACTGTTATATATATATGTACATAGTAAGATTATTATAAAATTCTTTTAAATGCTGAATATTATGGATAATTAATTATGCCAACATTCCCCAAATATGGAATATGTAGAGCTATAGTTTAGTTAATACCATTTGTTAAAAACAAAAATAAATGATTTTGTTGAGATGCTTAAAAACATGAAGGATGATTTTGATATTTTTGTGTAAGAGAGAGAGAGAAAGCCAGAGTATGTATTGTGCTTTTTCCATTTATTGAGAGGATTTTTTTCCCTGATATGTTTTGGAAAGCATTGGTACAAATGGATATTGGTAATGTGAACTTAATTTTAACTGAATATATTTTTGAAAGTTAAAAAAGCAAAAGAATGATTGGGAATCACTACAATTCCAAATACGGTGATATCTTTAGACACTTCAGATTAATTTTGCAGTGTCTTTGGTCTGTAGTCATTCTCTTATGTATTCATTTAATTACAGATTTTAACCTTTTGACTTAGGACAGCAAAACGGATTTCTTTTGGAACTAAGTACTATGATTTGTGTCTAAAAAAAAACTTCTAAAAGTTATATTTTTCTATTTGTTTTTGTGTTTGTCACAAGATATGTTTCTCATGGGTATAGAAGTTTCCAGTGTGACAGAACACTTTCAAATCTCTCATTCTTGAATATATGGCATTTATTAGCAAAGAATAGTATTGATAGTCATTTCTCAATCGAATTATAGTGATGAAAAGATACCCTTTTTTTTTTTTTTTTTTTTTTTTTTTGATATGGAGGCTTGCTCTGTCACCCAGGCTGGAGTGCAGTGGTGCAATCTCGGTTCACTGCAACCTCCGCCTCCCGGGTTCAAGCTATTCTCCCGCCTCAGCCTCCCCAGTAGCTGGAATTACAGGTGTGTGCAACTGTGCCTGGCTAATTTTTGTATTTTTAGTACCGGCGGGGTTTCGCCATGTTGGCCAGGCCATTCCCAAACTCCTGACCTCAGGGTGATCCGCCCACCTCGGCCTCCCAAAGTGCTGGCATTACAGGCATGAGGCATTGCTCCCGGCCAAGATATCTCTTCTTAATGGGGAAGATGGCATGGTATATTGAGATAATAATTGTTTTAGAATTGCTTCCCTCACTACTTTTCCCCCCATTAGACTTATTTTTTTAAAAAGACATTGTCTGCACAAAAGGTAGCTATTACAAAAGAAGACTGAAGTGTCAAAGGATTTCTTGGGCTCTCTGATCCATATGCCCTGGCACTGTCTCTCATAAGGCTTGCCCTCTTCATGCAGTTGCCAAGTGCTTGTATAATTGTCTTGACAAATGGCATACTCATTAATATTGTGTTGGGCCTTTGCCAACCTGTGGAAGCCATGTGCCCCGGGCAGTGAAATCCAGTGCCAAACTCTTACTGATGGTTATAAACCATGCCTTAAATACGTTGTTGAGACCAATGATAGATAAGTAAATAGCCATTTGACCTAAAAATACTTACATTTATCCATGGAAGCCAAGAGCATTTGTGAATGGTAAGGGGCTGCTGGGGTTCTGAGCTGTAGACACTCTCATGTGCCGGAGCTGCAGCTTCCTGCCTTGAGGGCTCGTCTTTTGTCACTTACTTGCTCCAGAATCAATCAGAAAAACATACCCTGATGAACCACCACAGAAAAGAGGTTATTCACTTCTTCAAGGCTGTTAAAGTGCCTAGTCTAGAAGCAACGTCATTGTATCAGGGCCTGCAATCAGTTCTAGAAATTAGGTACACCAAATTCTCTAAAAATTAATAATTGAGTCTAAATGGATGAAACTCAGGAAAAGGGTGTGAGATGCTCTCGGTACAACTGTATATTAACATTTTCTCCCAGGCATTTCATGTTACTTCAAATTAACGATTTCAAAATGCACTGTTCATTTGTCCTTGTATTGGTTGAATGGTACTATGCAACTTGTTTTTTCTTGAGCTCACTAGAAACAATTGTAGCAGTGTGGTAAGGGAGCCATTCATTCATTTTTTTCATTCATTCATTCATGGAAGAAGCAGTTTCTTTGGGCACTTACTTCCTGTGCCTGACCATCTTATAGAAACAATCAAATGAATGGCTCCTGCCCTCAAAGTCTTATTTTCTAGTGGGAGAGGTATACATGTCTACAGGTAATTACTGCCTGGGTCATTTGGCATGAAAAATGTATTTCTATTTTAAACATCCAGCTTATTTATATTGATTTCAACAAAGCTAATGGGAGATAGGTTTGCCCGGTGCAGAGTTAGTTCCAGAATTTGTAGACCCAGCATATTCTGTTCTTCTGTGCATCCAAGCTGGCTTCCTGGTGATCTTATTATTTGCGTATTACACAAAGTCCCTGTAAGAATAACCCCCAAGTATTCTCCAAGGTAGATATCTAGATAATGTGTGACCTTGTCCCTGATAATTGATTTCATTTGCCCATGAACTTTAAAAAATTTTATCCTCCCTCTCAGAAAGAAGGTCTGGATAGGATAACCAGGATCAGGAGCTGAGCTTGTACAGTTTAAAATTTATGATGTTATGTTAGTAGAAGGAGAATGTTCTGAATTTAGAAAAATTGATGTCAGTATTCAAGACATTTTTAGTGAAACAGAGAAGATCAGGCTAGAGAATGCTTATATTACCTGAACCAAAGAAGCCACAGAAACTAAGCACAGTTGAAACTTGGCGAGATAGGACAATGGTTTTAAAGTTTAATTTAAAATATAATGAATGTCTATTTAGAATATTTGGAAATATAAATACATAAAATAGAAAATAAGCACCAGGGATAAATTGCTATGAAATCTTTTGGCTAGTTCTTCTCATGGTTTCTAAATATGATATGCATGTGTTTATAGGTAGGTGTATATTTATAGAGTTAAGATCATATCGTACATACAATTTTATATCCTGTTTATCACTTTATGTAGTTGTATCATTCAAACTCGTTGCAACCATTATATTTAATGACTGCATAATATTTTATTGTATGGTCTCCCATAATTTGCTTAATCATTCCCTTGTTGTGGGACATTTATGTGGTGTATAATTTTTTTTCTGTTATAAATAATACTGTAATGAAACTTCTTTGTGTTTAACTTCTGTCTTCATTTACATTATTTCCTTGTGATAGATTCCCAGAAGGGTAATTACCCTGTCAAAGGGTATGAACAGTTTTAAGTCTCTTGATAGTGCTGAATTGCTTTCTAGAAAGGTTGCGCCAATGACACCCTCACGAGTAATGCAGGAAACTGCCTGCTTATAGCCCTTCTCTTTTTGTTCATACTAGTCAGCAGGAGCAAAAGCATTCTCTTGACTTGGCTTTGTATCAGTAGAAGTTAATGGAAGTTGGCCATTTTCCCACCATTGTTTAGTAGAATAAAATGTATAACTGTGTTGACTGAACCAAGCTTCATTTTTTCTTGATAGAAATTGTGTGAGTATTGCATCTGGTGGTTATGGATTGTGCTTGAACACTTTTGTCTAGTGGTGACCATATATGGGTTATGCCTGCTCACCATTGGCTATTTCCCTGAAGCTAATTATGCTTTAGGGAAATGATCAGTCCAGTACAGTTTGTGTACTACTTAATGTTTTCTTTACACAGAAGAATGAGGGAGGTTGAAAGGACTGTTGAAATGATTATAAAACTCATTCATTCTAACAACAAACATTTATTCAGTATTTTACTAGTTGTTGTCATTGTGCCAAAGAATGCTTACAGCATTCTGAATGTGTCCAAAATGAAAAACAAGCAAAATAATCCAAATGTGATCCATGACCATGTAACAGATGCTTCAGATACCTTTCGAAATGTTACTTCTTAGAGCAGTCTTGTAGAGAAGTGGACTTGACCACCATGCCCACTGTTTGGACATTCCAGGCAGCTGTATTCCAATAGTAATGATAGAAATAATAATAATAATGATAATTGCTGCCATTTATTGAGTACCTGTTATATTCCTTCAAGATACTGTGCTGTTTTTTACCTTCATTGTTGTTTAATACTCTTATTACCAATGCAAGGTATATGTTATTTTCACGTTGAGAAATATAGGGAAAGTAAGATTCAGAGAGAGAGCGAGAGTTCTCCTAGTTCATCCTTGTCACAAATCACAGGATTTACTTCTGTCTAAAGGCTGAATAATATTCTATTGTATACATACATCACATTTTCTTTATACACTCATCTGTTGATGGACATTTAGGTGGATCCCATATCTTGGCCATTGTGAATAATGCTGCAGTGAACAAGGGGGTGCAGATGTCTCTTTGACATGCTGATTTCATTTCCTGTGTTATATACACAGAAGTGGGATTGCTGGATCATATGTTAATAGTTCTATTTTTAAATTTTTTTGAACCTCCATACTATTTCCCATAATGGTTATACTCCTCTAAATTCCCACCAACAGTGTACAGTGGTTCCTTTTTCTCCACATCCTCACCAACACTTACCTTTTCTTTTTGGTAATAGCGGTTCTAACAGGTGTAAAGTGTATCTATCTCATTGTGCTTTTGATTTGCATTTCTCTGATGACTAGTGATTTTGAGGATTTTTTTTCACATACCTATTGACCATTTATATGTCTTCTTTTCAGAAATCTTTATTCAGATCCTTTGCCCATTTTTCTTTCTTTCTTTTTTTTTTTTTTTTTGACATGGAGTCTCACTCTGTCGCCCAGGCTGGAGTGCAGTGGCGCGATCTCGGCCCACTGCAAGCTCTGCCTCCTGGGTTCACACC